>NC_000010.11:48779458-48930974 GCF_000001405.40 Homo sapiens | reverse complement strand
CCAGTACCGTCCCTTCAGAGAGCAGTGTTGCTGATATTCTTGGCGTTCTTTCTCTCCTCTTTTCTGGGTATGGGGGTGCATGTGTGCCAGAGAACACAGGGCTCACACGGACAAATGTTTCTTTCACTAACATGACATCTTCAGCATTTTGCCTTTTGACATTTTTGGGAAATAATTTTTTTTTGTTTTAGTTTCTGTTTATTATTTATTTCATTCTATGATTACACATTAATTATTTAATCACTCATCTATTGTTAGATATTTGGGTTGTTTCTAATTTTTTTTTACTATTTTAAATGGCACCACCATAAGCATGTTTCTATCAAAAGTCTTGTTCTTATTTCCTGAAGGGAGATTCTTAGAAGTGGCCTCCATGTGTTCTCCATAGCCTAGTCCCACCTCTTCCCAGAGTACCAGCCGTTTCCTTGCTTCATCTCGTCTCTTTGCCTTGGCTCCCATCCTTCTCCCCTTGGCCTAACCCAGTTAAGGTGGCCTCAAGTGCGATGCTACTGATCACTCTCCAGCCCCATAGTGCACTTGTTCTCATGGTCAAACAATCCGTCGTGCCATCATCTGTGTCTATTTGGAAAGCATTCCTGTCTCCAAGAGGGTACACACTCAGTGACCAACAAATATTTAGTATGCAAGTGACAACCTGAGTTTTCCTGAGGGACCTCTCCCTTAAAACATATTCATATTCTGGAAATCCTTCAACAGTACATGTAAAAACAGTGAGTCAAGTTGATTATGTAGCAGCTGACTCTCAGCTATGAAATCTGGGACAAAGCTGAGAGCTGAGACCCTTTCTGAGGGCATGGGAATCAGGATTGACCTTGTAAGCGCTTAGACTGTATCTATTAAACTAGTATTGACCAAGGGCCTACTCTGTGCTAGGAACTGAAATGGACAAGTGAACCAGACAGGCCATGTGTCTTGGGGTAGGTGGGGGAGGAGAATGGGGGATAGATAATAAATGCAAGCATAACAAGTAATGCATCATAAACTACATTTAGATGCCAGATGCTATTGGAGGAGAAGTGCAGAGAAATAAGGGGCATCAGTGTGTGGGGGAAGGTCAGTCTGCTTTATTAATTGGGGGTGGATGGAAGAAGAGTTGTCAAGTCTGATGCCACAGTTTGGGCCCTGAGTATCCACAGGAGGCCAAGGCTGTCAGCCCAGCCGGAAGAGGCTGTGGTGGAGCAGCTGGCTGGGAGCTGGGCTTGGGACAGACAGGGTTTGAGATGCTTATCATCATCCAAGAAGAAATGCTAAGTAGGCAGTAGGCTAAGTGAGTCCAGAATTGGGGAGCAAGGTCCGGGCAAGAACCAAACACCGGGCAATCGTTAGTGTATAGACTGTATTCAAAGCAATGAGACTAGGTGGGCTTACCAGGAGAGTGAGTGTAGACCAGCACAATAAGTATAGGCAGAGAAGAGGAGCAAGGGGCTTGGCCATGGACCTCAGGGGGCACGTGGCAGAGGCAGCCTCTAACCCACCCAATCAACTTCCTCCCATGCTGGGCTATTTCCACTGCCCCCTGATGCCCACACTCACTGGCCTGGAGTATGGAGTCCAGGACACAATAGCTTCCTGCTGGAGCCTAGAGGCTATTGAGACCAGCCCAGTGCAACCCCATGCCTGGTACCAGCCTCAGGGCTGGGTTTCTCCTCTTTATTATCTTTTATTGTGCCTCCTCCCACCCTCCCTTCCTTTCCTCCTTCCTTCTTTCTTCCTCTGTCCTCCTTCTCTCCTTCCTCTTGTTGTCCATCCCCTCCTCTCTGCAAAGAGACTTTTCCACTTGATGTTTCCTCCATCTGAAATTCTCTCCCTGAATCCTCACTTCCTCTGATCTCTGCTCAGGTATCATCTTCTCAAAGATGGCCCTCCTGGCCTCCCCCTTTCTAAAAAAGCGCATCTTCCAACTCTTCTCTTCTAATCTCTATGTCTCTATCCTGACTCTTTCTCTTCCTAACATCCATCACACCTGTCATTACACCTTATTTTTGCTTGATTTTTCTAGAATGTGAGCGGGACCTTCATTTTCTTTGCTGCCTGGAACAGTGCCTCATTCATAGTAGGTTTTCAACAAATACTGTTGATGAGTGAATGACTTCAAAGGGCTGTGGGAAGTTCAGCTGTGTCCTTAGAGCTGACCCTCAGCATTCCCCTTTGCAGTCATTTCACACCTTCCCAGGTGATAGGCGGTCAGCAAAGCTGCCACAGGGCTGCGAGCTGTCCTGCGGCAGATGGGGTGCTCCAGTGGACTCTGGGCTGTCGCCAGTGGGCCCTCACCAGAACTAGAGGGTGTGAAGTGCAGAAAGAATTCCATGTGAGGAGATGCCCCAGCATGATACGAGGGGGCCTGTGCAGCTCAAAGGAGCAATGTGTCCTCTTGGCCCCCAGGATAAATTAACTGAAAGCCTGCACTCAGGGAGGCAGGGGTCACGGTCCATAAGGACGCTAGGCTGCAGGGTCTGAATAGGGTTTCTACTGGGCTGGCACCTGGAGTCCAGGTTCCCCATTTGGTCAGTTGTGTGGTCCCATCCATGCTGCTGCCTCCTGTGCCAACCCCCACCAACACACACACACACACACACACACACACACACACACACACACACGTCAAAACCAAAGCCTCCAAGGGCCACGCATTGCCCTCCCCTGACCTTGGGAAGCAGCCACTTTTACATCCTCTTTACAGGAGTTCAGGCTGAAGCTTGTGGGGTTCAGGAGACCATCCAGGGTCATGGGGAAGGTAAACAGGGGGCTGGGCACACCCACTACAGCCAAAGCCCTGGCACATTTCCCTGCCAAGCCGCTTCTCTGAGACCCAGTTTCCTAATCTGCGGGAGGAGAGGAGCTGTGAGGAGAAGACAAAATAACACCTGTCTGGCAATAGCAGCGCTTAAAACACATTGGGTGGAATGGAATCACTGCTCACCTCATGAGCTTCAAAGGGGCCAGGTCTGCCTTTGGTTCTTTGACTTTTGCTTCTCTTGAGGTTGGTTTGTGTGTTTTGAACATAGGGTGGATGAACAAGGCATTTCTAGTCTGTTAAACTAATCATCTTAATATTTTATTTTAATTGTAAGGTGCTTATTCCCTTTTGTTCCTTTAACAAATCCAATTAAAACAGAGTACATCCAGAATTACAAAATAGATGCTATTAAACCAATAAGAAAGCATAATCTTTTGTTATTGGGCCGTGTGACCTCTTGGGAACTTTTGCTCCAAATAAAAGTTGAATTCTTATTATCCGCTAGGGGAAAGAGGGCAGTTTGACAGCTAACGGCTTTCCAGGCAGCACATGTGCAGAGCCACGCTGGTGCGAAGGATAGAGAAGTAAATAATACTAGGGGCAGACAAAGCTATAAATGCATAATATCCCAGTAAGACACTTAGAGCTTGGTTGATCAAATTAACCAGATAATTGCCAAATGAAGTGAACCTGAGAATTTTTATACAGACACTCCATTTGCTACTTTACAGGCATGTGGGTGGAAGTTTTGACGTAATGGGAAGAACGCATCCCACAGAAGTGCTGGAATAAGGCAGCTGTGTGAGCCTGGACAAACTTCTCACACATATTCCCCTCCCCCCACCACCCACAATAGGAGGGATATTCCTACCACAAAGGAGAGTGTTGCGGATGACTGAAATGGCAAAGGAGAGGTCACTTTATGAAGACACGGGCATGATGTACCTCTTAGCATGGGTCTGAGGATGTGTGTGGAAGCAGGGGGGAGGGTTCGGGGGAGGCATCATTTGACCAGCACATAGAGACGGCTGCTGTTTGGCAACAGCAGAAGTACTTAACGAGAGGTTAGACTTTCAAGTGAGCTCACACGGTAAAAATCAAACTTCAGGCAGTCTGCATACAGCCGCCCCTGATACAGGGGCACTACAGCAGCCTGCAGCTCTCCAGGGCAAAGAGGTCACTGCCTCTCTGGTGAGAACCAGAGAATGCAGTTGGCCAATGTCCCTGGGCAATGCTACATGAAAATCCTGTGTCTTCACACTCTTGACTCACACTCCATGTGGCAAGGCGTTCACACTGCGTTGGGCCTGCAGGGACTGGAGAAGCTGAGAAACAACGAGTTCCTGCCTCCATTGCCACCTACTTGGGGACACATGCCTATGAAGTGAACTGGCTCGTGGCATTATGTGTGCCCCATAAACTGTTTCTCTTTCTCTCTTTCATTGTCAATTACCAAGCTCTTACAGTTAAATGACTCCATTAATGCTATTAAAATATCATTAACATTCATACTATTTGTATATATTTAGAAATATACCCACATATATATGGTACATCTATGAAAATGAACATCCTACATATTGGCCCCTGGACAGTGGAGTGAGCAGACAATGGGTCACACTGAAATGATTTCTTCAGGGACCTTATTTGCCTGTGGTCAGTTCCTCCAAAAGGTCAGTGGAACATCTGCATTACTGAACCTCTGCAGGGACTTTGGCTAAGGCTGCCTCTCTGTCTCCTCAATCTGTTGCGTTGGCTGGCTGCTTCAGCCAGAGTGCACACCATCCTTCATTTAGCAGACTCTCTAGGGGGTGACATTGCAGTTCCCAGGCCAATCCATGCCAAATTAAAATGGGCTGGAGCAAGTGTCTCATCACCCAGAGTTCTGGGGACTCTGACAATCCTTGGTTCCAATGTCAGAGATTCCAGCAAAACAGGAACACCCTTCCTGGGGCCTGGGGCCATGGAGGGGCTAGTGGCCTTCCTTAAACTCCTGTGCAGAAGTGGGTGTGTCTTTCAGCCTGAGAGTCATAGGATTCCAGGATGGCTTCCTCTCCCGGGAGGCAGTGGGGGCCAGCAATGTATCCCCAGGATGAGGCATTTGCCACTGGGGGAGCACAGGCAACAGAGGGAGGAGAGAGAGAGGTGGCACAGTGTATAGAAAGATTGTACACCAGCTTGCGTATCAGACACATTGAGGTTTGACTTTGGCTGTATTCTTTGCTGCCTGTGTGACTTTGGGGAAGTCACTTAACTTCTCTGAGTCTCAATTCTCTTATAGTAAAAATATTTTACTATAAGATATTTTGCTTAGTTTCTCTGGAGATTAGACATACATGAAGGGCCCAGCAGCATGTTTGAGGCAATTACTTTGGTACCATGAGTGAATGATAGAGAGGAGCTCTTGACATTGGCAGTATTTCCAAAATTGATGTCAGAAATCCCCCCAAACTGTGGAGTCCCTGTAAGATTCCAACCCCTGCTTCTGCATCTCTCCTGCCATCATCCCTCCATCAGCTCTGCTCAGAGTGTGGTGGAGCTACTGCTGTGAGCTGCACCATCATCTCTGCACCTCTAATCTGTCCCTTTCTAGCAATCTGTCCTTCTGCCCACAGGGAAGCAGTGCTCACATTGGGGCAGTTAGTGGAGAAAATGAAAACACTTTATGTTTATACCCCCAAGGAATCTATATTCCTAAATCTAGGTAACACTGCAGAGCAAGTAGCACAGCACACAATTTCGGGCCCAGAATGATCTTTGGACAAGGGGTAATTCTCCAAGCTATGCCTGAGTCAAAAGTTAGTGCTGATTTCAGCGGCCTGCCCAGAGGTTCCCAACACACCCATTACATACACAGGACCCACTATGACAGTGCAGGTCTCCACCTCCCATGGACTTCATCTGTGAAGATACAGCCCCGCCTCTCTTTAGAGGGAGCATGACCATTCTGGGAAGGGGCAGAGGACACAGAGTGATCTGAAGCCACTCGGGAGGTCACAGTTAGGTGAGCTGGCCTGTTACACACCCAGTAAATATGAGGGTCGGGAGAGAGAACAAATGCAGTTACCTTTGAATGAGTGAGTTGTTGAGGGAAGTTTGCATCATTTCCTTTTAAGAGATGACCGACAAGTAAAAGATATTTCTCATCCACATGACATGAAACTGCCTACAAAGCTAGTCCCAAATACTGGCTGTGAAATGGCAGTGTCTATGGGGGTTTCAGTTCCATGTGTCTATCCTGTATCTCAATGGATCAGTTGAAAGAATGAAATTATTATTGTAAGATTGTGTTAGCAAGCTATTTAGGGATGTCAGAAATATAGAAACAAAGTCAGTCTGCTTAAAATTGTAGTCAAAGATACATGAGTGTGAAGCACCAGACAAATTCTAGTATCATATTGACAAGGGTCTTACAACTGGAAATGCTTGCAAATATTTGGATGACATTAATATATTGGTTGCCATTACTTTTTTAATTTAGATATCCATGGGGTATCCCACCATGCTGTTTGATTCACAATGACTAAAGAGAAAAAATTAATTAGAAATTAAAGTCAAACCAACTGGGCCACTTTTTCCAAAGTATAAAAAAAAATTGTACAAGAACAAAAAGACACAGTACCTTTAGAAACCTCTTATATTTGAGCTGCTAAGCTGTTCATGTGAAATGAAATCTATTATCCATCCAACCATACATAAATACATCCATTCGTCTGTCTATTCGCCCATCTATCTGCTTATCTACTTACATCTTTCTCCCTATAACTATCAGCTTCCCTTGTGTGGGTTGATCCCACTCTTACATTTCAAGAATTCTATGAACTGATAATAGGCCATCTAGCCAGTTTCAAACAGATGATCAAAAGATCATGGCTTCTGGCACTGGGTCTGCTTCTAGTGGTACTGGGCAGCTTAGGGGGTCAGGATGGACCCTGAGCCACACAACACACTCTGCCTTCTATAACTGAGAGGAAGGGTCCCTGCCAAGGTCGGGTGACCCCAGGGAGAAGCGCAGAAAGGGTGGAAGTTCACTGTGCCCCATCTGGCCCCGGGGCTGCCTAGGGACCCAGACTCCCTGGGGAGGTGAAGTACATTATCCTAGCCAGCCCTCACTTTACCTTGAGGTGATTAATGGGCAGGCTTGGAGCCAAAGGGCCCTTTGGAGAGAGGCTCCTTAACGGAGGAGTTCTCTGTAGCCAGCTCCGTGCTGCTTCCTCATCACCATTCATCAGAGCTGGGAGGGCTTCTTCTCACAGTGTGGGTGGGCTGTGGGCAACCGGCACAGCTGGGCCCAACTGGCTGGATGTCCCATTTGCTGGAAGCACCCCTTCCTGTCCAGGATTCTCTCTAAGCCATGCTCAGTGTGTTTGGCCTCCCTGAGCTGAATTTTATCTTAGATAGTAGAAGAAAACCAAAAGGCAGCCCAGGTTTTTGGTGTTCAGGGGAATCTGGTGGCCAGAATCAGTGAGAATCTAGATTTGAACTATTTCAACTTGAGGACTGGGCCTGATTACTGTTTATCTGTGTTGCTCAGAGGGTTGATAAATGGTAGGCACTCAATATGCTCATACAGTGAATGAACAAATGAACGAATGCATGAGTAAGCACTAATAATGACCATAGATAAATGAAAATTTACTGATTGTTTAGGCCCATGGGATAGGGTTGCCAAATAAAATACAGGACTATGCGGTATTTGGGACATATATATATATATATACTAAAAACTATTTGTTGTTTACCTGAAGCTCAAATTTTACTGGGGATTTTGCAATTTTATTTGCTAAATCTGGCAAATCTACCATGGGGAGAAGCCATTGATAAACATCAGATGAGTGCATAGACTTCCTTGATCTCAATTCATCTCTTTTTAATGAAGATTTCAACTCAAGCACAGTAGACAGTTTTTCTGACATGCCAGCTTGCGAACATCTGTTCCCTGTGGTACACAACATCCCCCCAGTGCATACACCAGGGAGACATACACATTGGACCACAGTGGTGCCCAGATGCTACCTATTTGGATGCCCTTTCAGGGGCAGAACTGGTTGTGTGGGGGCTTAACAAAATCACAGACTTCCAACGTGGGACAAGCCAGCAGACACAGTGAGAGGAACAGAAGTAGAATATGGAGTCCCAACTATTTTGTAAAGTTTTTTTAAAAACGATTTTTTAAAAATGTTTCTGCAGTAAAATTGCCTTTTTGGGCACAGTTCTCTAAGCTTCAACAGATGTACAGATTCATGTAACCACCATCACTGTCAGGGTGCAGGCAGTGACACCAACCCAGAAAACTCACTTGTGACTCTCCCTTCTAGTCAAGCCTTTCCCCAACCCCTAATCCCTGCAACCATAGATTTGTTCTGCACCTAAAGTTATGGCTTTTTCAGAAGGTGACATAAATGGAATCATTCCATTCATGTAGACGTTTGAGACATTTTTTTATTAGGCAAAATGCTTTAGGGTTCATCCAAGTTGTCGCATGTATCCGTAGACTTTGTGTTTAGTAGTATTCCATTACCACAGTCCTCGCTTACCCACAGGTGATATGTTCTAAGACCCCCATTGAATACCTGAAACCACTATAGTACACTATGTTTTTCCTATAGGAAAACATGCCTATGATAAAGTTTAATTTACGAGTTAGGCACCGTAAGAGATGAACAACAATTCATCATAAAATAGAACAATTTCAACAATTTACTGTTCTCAACTTCACAGATAGAAGATTCATTCTTGCTGTAGATGTTAGCAACCTCAGCATATGATTTGTTTTTTTCCCCAAGTCAAGAACTTTCACCTTTTCACTTAAAGGAAGCACTTTAAGGCATCTCTCTCTTTGGCATATCTGAACTACCAGCATCACTACTCACTACTAGGACAGCTACTAAGTGACGAACAGGCAGCTAGCATTTACAGAGTGAATCCACTGGAAAAAGGGATGATTCAAGGTCTGGGTGGGATGTAGCAGGATGGCCTGAGATTTCCTCATACTACTCAGAACAGTGAGCAATTCAAAATGTATGAATTTCTTATTTCTGGGGTTTTCCATTTAATATTTCCAATCTGGGGAACTAAAAATGTGGAAATGGAAATAGCAGATAAGGGGGACTACTGTACAGTATTAGGAATCCACCCATTGAAGGACATTTATTATTTTTCTGTTTGGGGCAATTATGAATAGAGCAGCTATAAATACCTGTGAACAGGTTTCAGTATGAACATGGAATTTTACTTTTCTAGGGTAAATACTTAGTTGGGAAAATGCCAGATGATATAATAACTATATGGTTAATTTTATAAGAAATTTCCGAAGTGTCTTCCAAGAGACTATACCATTTTGCATTCCCATCAGCAAGGAATGAGAACTCTAGTTGCAGCATCTCCTTGCCAAAACTTTGCACTATCGATTTTTGTGTCTGTACATTTCTATCTTGAAATGTATCTTTAAATATTCTGGACATTAAAAAAAATTGTATTGTTTGCTTTCTTACTGTTGAGTTGAAAAGATCTTTATAGATTTTGGATACCAGATATCTATGATATATATGATTTGCACTATTTTCTTCCAGTCTGTAGCTTGTCTTTTCATGCTCAACGTTTTTTTTTTCCACAGAGCTTTTAATTGTGTTCAACTTATTAATACTATCTTTTGTAAATTGTGCTTTTGCCTGATTCAAAGTCATGAAGATTTTCTCCTTCATTTTCTTTTCAAAGTTTTATAGTCTTACATTTTACATTCAAATCTATGATCCATTTTGAGTCAATGTGTGTTAATTAGGCCAAGGTTTAATTTTTGCATATAAATAACCAATTTCAACATCGTTTGTTAAAGAGTTCATTTTCTCTCCATTGAACATCCTTTGACCTTTTTTCAAAAATCAATTGACCATTTGGCCATGTTTGTGTAGATCTATTTCTGGACTCTATTTTCTGTTCCATTGACCTATCTACCTGTCCCATCACCAATAATACCACATGCTGTAACTATATGGTAAATTTTAAAATTGGGACACATAATCCTCCAACTCTATTATTCTTTTTCAAAATTATTTTCCATTCCTAGTTTCTTTTCCTTTCATATAAGTTTTAAAATCTATTCATCCATATATGTAAATAATCCTCCTGTAATTTTGATTAGACCAATTTGGGGAGAGTTGACATTAAGTCATCCAATTCACGAACATGGTATGTTTCTCCATTTATTTAGATCTTCTTTGCTTTCTTACATCAGCATTTTATAATTTTCATTATAAAAATCCTGCATATTTTGGTTATTTATGTGAAATATAGAAGTATTTTATTATTTGGAGCATTATTATTTTTCATAATTCAGTTTCCAATTGTTAATAGCTAGTAATATGGAAATGCAATGGGTGTTTTGTGTGCTAACCTTGTATCCTATGGCCTTGCTAAACTCACTTATTAGTTCCAAGAATCTTTTTAAAATTCTGTGGGATTCTCTATGTGGACAGTCATGACATCTGTGCATAAGAACAGTTTTATTTCATTCTTTTCTGTCTGTATGCCTTTATTTTTTGCATTATTGCACTGGTTAGAATTTCCAAAGTAATACTGAACAGACATAGTGAAAGTGTGCTCTCTTGTCTTAGTCCCAAACTTCAGAGAAGAACCTTCTGTCCTTCACGAAGTATGATACTAGCTCTAGCTTTTTTTTTCTTTTTTTTCAATTGTTTTAAATTATACTTTAAGTTTTAGGGTATATGTGCACAACGTGCAGGTTAGTTACATATGTATACATGTGCCATGTTGGTGTGCTGCACCCATTAATTCGTCATTTAACATTAGGTATATCTCCTAATGCTATCCCTCCCCCTTCCCCCCACCCCACAACAGGCCCCGGTGTGTGATGCTCCCCTTCCTGTGTCCATGTGTTCTCATTGTTCAATTCCCACCTATGAGTGAGAACATGTGGTATTTGGTTTTTTGTCCGCTCTAGCTTTTTTGTGGACGTCCTTTAGCCAGATAAGGAAGGGCCTTTCTATTACCAGTTTGCTGAGAGTTTTTAATCACTAGCAGATGTTACATTGTCAAATGTCTTTTCTGCATCAATTATAAGATCTTTTTTTTTTCTTTTTAGTCTGTTAATATGGTATGTTACATTAACTGATTCCCAAGTATTGAGTAAGTTTGGGCTGTCATTTATATTCTTTTTACTTGTTACTGGATTCAATTTGCTAATACTATGTTGAGGATTTTTGTAACTATGTTCATGAAGAATATTGGTCTGAAGATCTCTTTCTTATATGTCTTTGTGTGATTTTAGCATCAGGGTAATGCTGACATCAGAAAATACGTTGAGAATCACTCTCTATTCTATTTTTTTTTGAAAGAGATCATATCAAATTGCTAGTATGTCTTTGCAATTGATTGAATGTTTGTGTCCCCCAAAAATCTGTATTGAAACTCTGATCTCCAGTGTGAGTGTATCAGAAAGTGAGGCATTTAGATCATGAGGAAATTAGATCTTGAGGGTGGAGACTTCATAAATGGAATTTATGCCATTACCAAAAGGGGCTCCAGACAATTGTTTTGCTCTCTTTCTACCATGTGAGGACACGGCAAGAAAACATCTATGAACCAGGTAGCATGCTCTTACCAGATGGCAAATCTGCCAGTGACTTGATTTGGACTTCCCAGCCTCTGGAACAGTGAGAGATAAATTTATGTTGCTTACAAGCCAACTAGTCTATGGTACTTTGTTATAGTAGCCTGAGTGGACCAAGACAGTCTTCTTTAAATGTTTGATAGAATTTAACAATAAGACTACTGGGCTTTGGGTTTTCTTTTTTGAAAGGGTTTCAACCGTGAATTCCATTTCTTCAATAAATACAGGTCTATTTGGGTTTTCATTCCTTCGCAAATATTTAGTAGTTTTTAGTTGATCTTATCTAAGTTCCTCTTTTTTTTAGAGTTGTTTGTACTGTTCTCTTATTATCCCTTTAATGCCTGTGGGATTTAGTAAATCCTCCCTTTAACTCCTGATATGTGTAATTTGGCTTCTCTTTCTTTTTTTTTTAAATTGTCAGTCTGGCTATCTGTTTCATTAATCTTTTCAAAGAACCAGCTTGTACTTTTTTGTACAATTTCAACTCCTTTAAATTCGTTAAGGCTTGTTTCATGACCCAAAATATAGTCTGTGTTAGTGGATATTCCATATGTACTTGAAAAGAGTTTGTATTCTGCAGTTGCTAGGTAGAGTGCTTTATACATGTCAGATTCAGTTGGTCAGTGGTAATAGTGAGTTATTCTATACTAGCAGTTCTCATCTCCAGGCAATTTTGCTCCTCAGTGGACATTTGGCAATGTCAAGAGACATTATTGATTGTTACAACTAGTGGGCAGCTATTGGCAACCAGTGGGTAGAATCTTCTGGCCTTACTCTGCTAAACATTCTACAATGTACAAGGCAGGTCTTCCCCCAAGCCCTGTCACCATCCTACCCCCTGCTGACAACAAATAATTACCTGGTCTAAAATGTCAACAGAGCCAAGGTTGAGAAACCCTTTTCCTTGCTGATTTTCTCTCTACCTGTTCTATTGACTGCTGAGAGACAAGTATTGATGTCTCCAATTCTAATGGTAAATTTATCCATTTTTCCTTTCAATTTTATGTTTTTGCTTCATTTAAATTGAAGCTCTGCTGTTAGGTACATACACATTTAGGATTTTTTTGTCCTATTGGTTAAATGATCATTTTATTAATAAGTAATGGTCTTACTTCCTGTAAATTTTCTTGTTCTGAAATATGCTTTATCTGACATTAATAAAGTCACTACATCCTTCCTTTAGTGTTTGCATGGTATGTCTTTTTACATTCTTTTAGTTCAACTCACTGTTGCTTATTTAAAGTATACTTTCTTTATAGACAACATACAATTGGGTCTTTTTCTTTTGTAATCTATCCTGATAATTGTGTCTTTTAATTGGAGCATGTAGGTCACTTTCACTTAATGTAAGTATTGCTATGTTTGAGTTTCAGTCTATCATTTTAATAGTTGTTGTCTGTTTGCTCCTTCTGTTCCCTTTTCCTGCCTTCTTTGTATTATTTGAATTTTTAAACTGTTTTATTCTCATTTATATATTTAGTTTTTTACTATTTACTATATCTTTTTATATATTGCCTTAGTGATTGCTCTGAGGATTAAAATACACATACTTTACTGTCTGCTTAAAATTAACCTTTCACCACTTCAAAAGCAGTGTAAAACCCTTACCACCATATAGGTCTTGCTCACTTCCCCGTTATGTAGTAGTTGTCTTATGTATGACATCTACATACTTTGACAACTCCATCACACAGTGTTAGTTTTCTTTCGATCACATACATATTTTAAGGGTATTTAGAAGAGAAAAATACTCCACATTTACTCAGATATTTAGCATTTCCATTGCACTTCCTTTATCCCCAAAGTTTGGAGTTCCTCTCTAGTATAGTTTCCCTTTCACCTGAAGAACTTCCTTGGACATTTCTTTTACAGCAGCTTAGTTAGTGGCAAAAACTTATTTTTCACTCATCTGATAATGTCTTTATTTTGCCTTCATTTATAAAGGATACTGTCACAGTCTGGGTTGATAGTTCTTTTCTTTCAGCACTTTAAAAATGATGTTTCCAGCACCTCTGGCCCCTGTGGTTTCTGATGAGAAACCTGCAGTCATTCCTATTGCTGTTCCCCTGTGGGTGATACGTCATTGTTCTCCGGCAGCTTTCATGTTTTTTCTTTAATTTGGAGCAGTTTGATTATGTGTCTGAGTGTGAATTTCTTTATTTATCTTGTTTGGAGTTCGCTGAGCTTCCTTCCTGTGTTTGTAATTTTTATCTTTTTCATCACTGTTGGAAGTTTTCAGCCATTTTTCCTTCAAATGTTTTTCTGCACCACAACTGTTTTTCCACACTTTCTGAGATACAGGTGTAAGTATAGGTATCAGCAGAGATAGAGATAGAGGCACATGTCACTTCATGATGTGAATACTTTCTGAGAAATACATCCTTAGGCAATTTCATCATTATGTGAACATCAAAGAGTGCACTTACACAAACCTAGATGGTATAGCCTACTATAGACCTAGGTAGACTACATGATCTAGTCTATTGCTTCCAGGCTACAGACCTGTACAGCATGTTACTGTACTAAACACTATAGGCAATTGTAACACAAGGGTAAGTATTTGTGTATCTAAACCTGGAAGAGGTAAAGTAAAATTATAGTATCACAATCTTATGGGACAACTGTCATATATGCAATCTGTCATTGACCAAAACATCATTATGCAGCACATGGTTGTACACACACACACACACACACACACACACACACACACACATATTTTTAAAGCAGGACTTTTTACTTTTAAAAAGCACCTAGGGGTCTGTAGTAGGTTATTCCATTTAGGTTTGTGTAAGTATACTCTTTGATCACACAATGAAGAAATCACCTCTGCCTTTAAACAGAGGCAGCTCAGGAGAGTTCAGAGTTGCTATACAACTTTCAGAATCACTTTTCCTGAATTTCTTCCCTGTTGCAATCTCTCTGAACTCTGTGGCTCCCAGGAGCATCTCTTCTCCCCCGACTTTTTGGTCTTCTGGCTGGATTTTGTTTTCTAAATCTGTTGCACACTTCTTGCAACTGTTTCTGCCTCTAGAGCCAAGTGGCAGTAGGGTAGAGAAAACAAAGCAACCCCCCAGCTCTGAGGACCACAGTTTGGTCAAAGACAATGGTTCTCTTCTTCCAGCTTCTAGATGCCTGCCTGGATGACTCCAGGGATACAGGGTGGCCTGGGATGAGACAGGAGAGAAGCAAGCAAGCAAACAAACAAACAAACAAAAAACAGAACACCAAACAGATTTCCCTTACTGTCTCTGACCCTTAAAAATCCATTTCCTGTTCCTTGGACCAGAAAGAGAGGCTCTTGTTGGAAATCAGAAATCTTTCTGTCCTCATCTGGTGCAAAGTTTTGTGTTCTGGGCTGCCCTTGAGTCCAAGCCAAGAGAAACGGTTGAGGGGAGAAAAAGGAGTTCAGGAAACTTGTGGCCAGATTGGTCTTTACTTTGAGTTATGGATTTCTTCTCCAATCTGCCTGATATCACTTATCTCAGAGTCCCCAGAGTGCTTCTCTGTGCATTCTGCCCAAGGCTTTACTTGCTTTCAGGAGTTTGGTGGGACCAAGTGAGCATACAAAATCTTAACTGGACTTGGACTCCACTTTGTTTTTTAAGCTGTTTTATCCTATCTGGTTTCTCAGAGCTGAATGATATAGACAGTTCAGTATTGGTGAACATGGTGCTGGCTCTGGAAACCAGCCAATTATGCCCGAAAATGGGGAGTCCACTATTTTTAAAGACTAGGGTCAGCTTACAAGGCCTGTGTAAATGAACATCAATGCTGCCAAGAGCTAAGAACTGTCATTGGTTTACTGTGGAGACCACCATCTATCCCAGGCGGCTGTGATCCATCAGGCCTTTCGCAGGGTAGGACCCTCTGACCCTTCAGCTATGAGTGGTGACAGTGGGATTTTCAGTAGGTGTGAGACAGGCTTGTACACATTTCCCTTTGACACTGGGTGAGGAAAACATACAACTATATTCCCACACAGCCTGATTGCTCAATATTCATGTGCTATATCAACTTGGGTTCTAATAAAAGGTACAGGTGATGAAGTACAGAAACTGTAGAGCACCTCTCCCTGCCCATCCCTGCAGGGAACAGAGGCAATGCAAGTTTGTGTCTCCCAAGGGCATACTTCTGCCTGGTTTGGAAATCTTGGTCCAAAAAAAAAAATCAGCAAGCAGGAGGCACAGGAGGCCTTTAAAAAGAAAAGGGGGTCCCAGAACCAAACAGAACAGAGTTGCGTCCTCTTCCTGGCTGCAGACCTTCCTCACTTCTGAGCCTCAGTCTCGCTATGATAGGGTAATGCTGTGGACCTTGTTATTGAGGATTAGAAACAATATGTGTAGCAATTTTTAATAACTAACATTAATCAAGCTATTACTATGTACCAGGCACTGTTATAAGTGCTTTATAGTATTAGATAATTTACGCCCCCTCATAGCTCTGTAAGGGTGTCTGTTTTCACAAATAAGAAAACACAAGCACTGGGAATTTAAGAAGATTGTGAGTAGAGTAGAGCTGGACTTCTAAGCCAAGCATGCAGAAGCCAGAATCCCCATCACATCACATTGACATTCTGCTTCCCTGCACTGAGGCAGTCACGGCCATTTATCAAGTTTCTGTGCAGAGGAGTTGAAGTCCAGTGTGAAGGATGAGAGAATGGGCAGGAGATGGAAAAGGCAGCATTCTCCATGAGCTTTGCCCGCACCCCCCATCCCCCTGTGTGCTCATGATGGGGAGTTATGGTGCTGCTGGGCCCAGCAATGGCACACCCTGATATCCCTGGGCTGAGCAACAGGCTTTTCTGCATGGCTACTGTTGGACTGTAGCCAAGGCCTCACTAGTTCCTCTGGGTCCATGAGGGGAAGAGGGATGTGAGAAGTTGGTCTTAGTACCCACCTTATTCTCTAAGATCCAGGCTTATGTTGGCTGGAAAACTCAGCAGTCCCTCCCCAGGAACTTGTATGAAAACTTCAGGAAATCCTAGCTTAATGCAGGGGTCTAGGAAGGGGCAGATATCCAAGAACACACACACATGGCTCTGGGTTGGGGGTACGTGACAGTCTGGGACAGTGGAGAGTATTTATAAGTCGGGGCATGGCACAGCTAGAGGGACATTTAGTGTCCTTCAGGCTGACCCTGCACCTCCTATTTTAACATCCAAGAAAATCAAAGTCTGAAGAAGTCACACAGTTTGCTGACAATCTATGGCTGGGCTGGGTCCACTTTGCCCTGACTTCTCTCCGCAATCCTCTTTCTTGCTTTTTAAACCACTGAAGAGCAAAGCGTCATGACGTGGGGGAGCCCAGTGCCCTCTGGCATCTCCTAACCAGATGTTTTCTTATCTTTCAGCAGTTTTTCATGATTTTTCCTCACACTGATCACTATCCAATCAGAACAATAAACTTCTAACACTCCCTTACTAAAAGAACATGGTTAAGGGTGAGAAAGGCCCCAAGGGCAAGAAGATCACCCTCAAGGTGGCCAGGAATTGCATCAAAATCACTTTTGATGGGAAAAAGCGCCTTGACTTGAGCAAGATGGGAATTACCACCTTCCCCAAGTGTATTCTGCGCCTTAGTGACATGGACGAGCTGGACCTTAGCCGGAATCTTATCAGGAAGATCCCTGACTCCATCTCCAAGTTCCAGAACCTCCGGTGGCTGGACCTGCACAGCAACTACATAGACAAGCTGCCTGAGTCCATTGGCCAGATGACCAGCCTGCTCTACCTCAACGTCAGCAACAACCGGCTGACCAGCAACGGGCTGCCCGTGGAGCTGAAGCAACTCAAGAACATCCGCGCTGTGAACCTAGGCTTGAACCACCTGGACAGCGTGCCCACCACACTGGGGGCCCTGAAGGAGCTCCACGAGGTAGGGCTCCATGACAACCTACTGAACAACATCCCCGTGAGCATCTCCAAGCTCCCCAAGCTGAAAAAGCTCAACATAAAGCGGAACCCCTTTCCAAAGCCAGGTGAGTCGGAAATATTCATAGACTCCATCAGGAGGCTGGAGAACTTGTATGTTGTGGAGGAGAAGGATCTGTGTGCGGCTTGCCTGAGAAAATGCCAAAACGCCCGGGACAACCTGAATAGAATCAAGAACATGGCCACGACGACACCGAGAAAGACCATCTTTCCCAATCTGATCTCACCCAATTCCATGGCCAAGGACTCCTGGGAAGACTGGAGGTGACTTGGAACCTGACCCTGAGGCAGAAGGGAAAGAGAGAGGGAGGGAAGAGGGCAGTGGGCTACCTCCACAGGAAACCAAGGGCTCCCCTGTGGCTGCAGCAGCTCTTTCAGCCAAGCCCATAAAACTCCTTTCCTTACTTTCTCGGCGTGTGATTGTGTTGATTGAAGGGCTTTTGATTCCTTGCCATTCCACACATTTCTCTGTCCTCTGCACACACACTCACAAGTACAGGCACAGTGAGTCAGGAAGGGCCTGTCCATGTCCATCCTACTCTTGCCCCCAGATCTCTCTTGTCTACCACTGTGGCCTAAGCAGCTAATGCCGCCACACACTCACTATCACTGGCATTTCAGAGCCCACTGCCAGATCCCAAATGTGAAGTTATTTAATGGAAATGTTTTGGGTCTGGGCTTCAAAGGCAAGGAATCTCAGAGCATGAGTTTGTAAGAAAGTAGATGAGCACTTGGTGTTGGGTAGGGGACAGAGCTGGACCACAGAAATGGGCAGGTTTTATTATTAAGGCATCAATAGGCAGATAGCTTCTTAGGCCCAAAGCAATGTTTTCTCTCTGAACTGAGCTTGCATAACTTGCTCTATGAGCTTTCTTGGCTAAACCTGCAGACCTCTGACTGGCTGTGAATGAATGAAGTTGCACTCCCATCCTATTACATTCAGTGTTTTTCCAGATCCTCATAGGAGAAACGAAATAATGGTGGCAAGTATGGATTGGTGCATTCAATAAATCAACACCTTACTCAGCACCATGCTAGGTGCAGGGGCCGTGTCCCTTTGGGGAAAGCTTGGCTTGCCTGGTGCAAGCTGGAGGAGAGAGCAACTGAAATGAGATGGGGCAGAGCACCACTGTCTGAGGCATTCAGGAGATCCCAGTCGTGGATGTGCAGGGCTGGCCTGGCAAAGAGAAAAGCCAAAGATTCTGAGGTTGGACAGGTCTAGGTCCATGGCAGCTCTGCTTCTGACTTGGCATCCCCTTGGGCACCTAACATAGCTTAGGTTCCCTCACTCGTGAAGTGGGAATAATGCCACACTGAACTCCAAGTGTTCTGTGCCTCTAAAACAGGCAGCACATGGAGAACGTACTCAGCAGAAGCCAGTTTTCTTCCAGAACCATAACTTAGTTCATTGCAAAGCTGAAATACTACTTTGAACAGTGGTGCCAGTTACGCTAGATCTTTTGGTAGAAAATGACAGCAACCAAGTCAATCCTCACAATAGCTGAGAACCTTCTCTGGCCTCCCTGTGTACCACACTCTCACACCTTCATGTGGGTAAAAGAAAAGATCAAGAATGATACCTTGAGGGAGGCTTTTTTCCCCCAGGACTTTCCTATGTTGTTGGCAAGTTTGCTGAGTGGATGATGAGAAGCACCAAGAGGCATCCATCAGTGAAGTGGTATTAACTTATTTTCTCCTCACATTGTCAACCACAGCACACAGCACATTTCATTTCTTCACCCCTTGCTGCTTACTTCCTCTTGTAATGCTTAGCTATGACAACCCTATCATATTTCTAAAACCTTGGGAGATCTAGATTCAAAATTTTCATTTTAGTTTTTCCCTTTATTAAGTGTTTTTCATTGTAGAAGTAACAGAACCACAACATACTACTAAATATAGTAGCTTAAAGCATTCATCATTCTACAGTATGTCAGCTGCAATGCTGGCAGAGTTCCTTACTAGTTATTTTTCTGTATATATTTTTATACATAGTTAAAATTATAGCATTCCTGTCATTTCTGTCCTGCTTTGAAACCCATGCTGTTACCTGGTATTAATAAACACACTTTAAAACATCTGCAAGATAGTTATTCTTGTGGATATACATAACTATAAGTTACTGTTGTACCTTTAAGTTATTTTCAGTTTTCACTAATGGGAATAGTCTTGTGATGAGAGCCTATATAACTAAAACATTTTAAAATATTTTTAATTATTTCCTTGGCATAGCCTCATTATTGGAAATATTGTGTTAAAGGGTGTCTTTTAACAATAATGTTGATACATGCCATCAAGTAGCTCATAAAAGGTTTACACACATACGCCTACCAGTAACGTAGTAGAGAACCCATTTCCCGGCATCCTTGCCAGCACTAAGCACTGTCCTTCACATTTTTCTCTTCACCTACTGTCTGAAATGACTCATGAGAACCCCTTCTGAAGCTGAGGGGAGTGACCGTGTCTGAGACATGTGTGATGAGACACCATGCTGTAGGTATAGGAGCCACCGCTAGCCTGCCAGGTCTTGGACATATCCATAAGGGAGCCAATCTGCTATTTCAGTCACTTCTTCTCTGACCCAAAAGGTATAGAGTCCACGCAGAGACATATGATTGAGACAGACAGTGCCGGATAGCTACATGATGACTTTCCATTTCAATTTCTCCCCCTTCAGACACTTTTTCTTTAGAATTAATTTTCCCTCCTTAGGTATTCAAAAGGTTCAGCAAAGGAGAGAAGTTAAGAGAAACATCGAGGTTACAGAGCCCACCTGGTGCCCAGGGTTTGCTGGTCCACGTCCTCCCTTCCCCGCTGCAGCACACTTCTTGCCATGCTTGGTCCTCAACACCCTTACTTGCTGCCAACTGCTTGGCTGGCCTGACACTCACTCCAGCCTTGCTCTGGGGCTTTATCATGCTTTGCCTCTTATCACACATCTCAGGAAGGAGTTTCAAGTGCATTTAACTTTACCAGGATTGAGACATACACAGGCAGTGGGCTGGATTTGCCTCAATGCATTCAAGTCAGACACCTCTTTAGCCAGGAAATGCTGGCAGCAGGACGAAGCAGACTGGAGATAGAGACCAGTTAGGAGGCATCTTCCGCATTCTATTTCTTTTTCTGCCAAGGAAAAGGTTTGATGTTGGTGTTCCTTCATGCTCTAAAATACCTCAGTCACCTTTACTCCTTGGAAATTGTATTAAGCATAAAAATACTTCATAGGAAAGCCTTGGGTGTTCTCTTTCCTCAAATACAACAAAACCCCCATTCACACTAACCTGACCATCCTGAAGGTCAGGCATGACCTTGGTGAGCTGGTGTGACCTCTGCCCTTGCTGTGTTTGCCTCTGTGGCCTGGAGCAATTGCCTCACCTTCTTGTGTCTCCATCCCCAGAATACGCTTGACATCTTCCTAGAGTAGCTGTGGCAAAATCTTGAAGACTACTCAGCTAACAGAATAAACGACTCTGAAGAGGAGAAGCCCCCAGTTAGGAGAAGACAGAGTGGCAAGTGAGATGTTCTGGAAACCAGGCTCGCCGGAGCTGGCCAAGCCACCGACTTGCTTCTCAAATTCACTTCACCTCCCTTAGCTTTAGCCCACCTGTGTGTGAAAATGACTTTGGGAAATATTTGATGTGGTTTTTAAAATGTATATAGAAAAAAATTTAAGAAAATTACAGATTATATATTATAGACAACTAAATATTTAAGACTTTAAGACTTAAAAGGCTTACTGCCTCTACATTTCACTCAGACTAGTACATCTCAATGCCAGTAGTCTGTGATAAATTTATGTAGGTATAATGAGATACTGATATGGTTTGGGCATTTGTCTCCTCCAAACCTCATGTTGAGATTTGATCCCCAGTGTTGGAGGTGGGGCCTAATGGAAGGTCATGGGGGTGGGTCCCTCATGAATGGCCTGGTGCCATCCTTTTGGTAATGAGTGAGTTCTCACTGTATTAGATCCTGTTGAAAATTGATTGTTAAAAAGACCTTGGCACCTCCCTCTCCTCTCTCTCTCTTCCTCTCACTATGTGATGCCTGCTCCCCTTCACCTTCCACCATGAGTGGAAGCACCTATACCCCAAAGCCCTCACCAGAAGGAGGTGCCGGCACCTGTACAGCTTGTAAGAACCATGACTCAAATAAACTTCTTTTCTTTATAAATTACCTAGCCTTAAGTATTCCTTTACAGCAATGCAAATGGACTAAGATACCTCAAGCAACTCCAATTTATACAAAAAGTTATATAGAAAAATATGCTAAAAAATACTATAGATAAGGTAGGATTTTAACAAATCTTTCAATGGTGCATAGGTAGGCAGGAAAAAGAAACCAGAGAAATAAACAACAGGAAAAAAACAAAAAATAAAAATAAAATGGCAGACTTGTATTCTAACATTTTGATAATTGTAATAAATGTAAACAATCTGCTTTATTTGTAATGACCACAAAATGGAAACAACCAAATTTTGCTCAATGCACAAATTGTTAAACAAACTGGTATATTTCTATCATGGAATACTACTCAGCGAAAAGAGGAACAGACCACTGATACATGCAACAACTTGAATGTATCTCAATGGCACTATTCTCAGTTAAAAAAAAAATGCCCATCTCCAAAAGTCACATACTCTATGATTCCATGTATAGAACAGTCTGTAAATGAAAAAATAATAGATATGAAAAACAGATTCATGATTCCCAGGATTTAAGGATGGTGGGGGAAGACAGGGAGGTAGGCATAACTATAAAGTGGTAGCACAGAGATATCTTTGTGGTGATAAAATAACTGTGTATGTCGATTGTGGTGGTGGTTACTCAAATCTACATGTGATAAAATGACAAAGAGCTACGCATACACATGTACCAGTGTCAGTGTCCTGGTTCTGAAATTGTGCTATAGCTATATAAAATGTAACCATGGTAGAGGGGGATATTAAGTGAAAGGTGTACAGTGTCTCTCTGTACTATTTTTGCAACTGTGAATCAATATTTTGAAATAAAAATTAAAAAAAAAAATCTTACAGCCTAGATGCAACAATCAATAGATCCTTATACATCTGCCCAGTGCTGATTTATGAGGCACTATGGCAAGCTTAACATGAGAATCTAAAACACCGAGTCAGCCTAGATATACAATTGAGGCACAGAGTAAGGCAATTCAGGCACCTTAACCTCGGCTCAGCCGGCTAATCTAAAATTTCCCGTTGTTGATCTTATTCTTGCAGATTCCTGAAAAAGTTGCAAAATAAATAGAAACTGCATGAAATCTCTATGTCCCAGGTTTTCTGGAGGTAGCTGGGCACAGGGGGCAACTAGGATGGCAGAAACCTTGAACCAGTGGGTTGCTCATCAGCATTCCTGGGCATTTGCACACCTGTTCCCCACCCCTGGTGGTGTGGGAGCATAAAGGTTGTGGAAGCAATGTGGCTGGGTAGAGTTGGAAGGAAAAAGGGCAGGCTTGCTACAGTGACTGGGGCTTGCATCAGGCTTTTGCCCTGGAAGGGATCTGAGGTTACGGCTAAGGATACAGCAGAGATGAGGCATGAACCTAGTACAGCCAGACAAAGATGAACATGGAATGGGGCCACGGCCAAGGTCTGAGCATGACCTAGGCAGAATGGCCAGGGATCAGATGCTCATGGCCCACAAAGCCAAATGTGTGAACAAGCTCCTAGATGCTGCAGCACTGGCTGTCACTCTCATTTTGAGTCTGCAGCCAGGTGCCGTTCGCCTCTGGTCCCAGTGACTCTGGTATAGACAGAGGATATGAGTAGTTTGGTCTCCACAGTTGTGCTCCCAGGGCTTCAGTACAGCAAGAAATCCAAGGACCATGCTTCTCTACTCAGTGGTGGAGCCAGCACTACCTTTACTAGTTAAGCATTTGTGTACCTTACAGATCTGTAGCCAATGGCATGAATCTCTAGGGGGCAGGATTGAAGGAGGAGAAATGCTAGGAAGGGGAGCTTGAACTTTAGCCTCCCCCCAGCTAACTGTGGTGCCTCTGGGGTGTGGTTAATTAACATGGAAGGTCATATTCTCATGGGAATCGCATAGGTTCTTATGGTAGGTTTTTTAAGTTATTTGTCTTTCATTATTTTTCAAAGATAATCTCTAAAGGAGACAATAAACTGAAAATGTTCAACTGTAAATCTTTGCACCCCCAAAATAAATTTCATTCTAAACATTATATATGAAGAATTTATACAGTTAAGAATGATTTTAGGAACTGCAAACACCCAGGTACAATCAGGCCCTGAATACAAGCACCATCTCACACCCAGTGGCTTTCTCCAGCCCGGGGATGCTTTTGCCTCAATGACATGGTGGATGTTTCCAGTTTATCCAAAAATATGTGCTGAGCCCAAGAGAGATTTGAGAGAAAGAGAATCAGATAGGCATCCTAGCCTTGTATTTCTCTGAGTTTTCTGAAATCTGGGCTCAGTATGAACTGAGGTCATTAGAAAGCAATGTAACTGAGCCAGGTATTGTTAGCTTCCCAAAGAAATGCCTGTACAAAAATAAGTGCGAATGTTAGGCTCCCATTCATGCAGAGAACTGATACAGAGAATTAGGTTCCCCAGTACTCTTTTTGTATGTTTTATTAAAAAGGAATTGCCACCTTTGGTACCCACAATCCTTTAGAGAAGAACCAAATTTGATATTCAGCACCAAGAGAAAGTATGTTCCAGAAATAAAAAAAAAAAATCGCAAAAGCCTGTTTCTTATTATCTATCCCTGGAAAATAATATAAGCCAATATGATTGTTTGTTTTAGTTTTCTTAGTCTCAGGACAATTAGAGTAACTCACTCCACATGACCACACCTATTTTTTCCCCTTTAAAGGGGTTGGGTAATTGTTAAAGGATGGTTGTACCCTGTGTTTAATTTTGAAGCTGTCTGTAGCCCTTTCTGGAAGGGCATGAGTACATTTAAGTGTGAGGATGTGTGTTTATCCACAAGTGCATTCCAGCTAGCTGCCCCCTTTCCCTGCAGTTCCTGCCATCATTTCTCCTTTTCTGATTGGTCTTTTTACATCTCAAAAATCCTGCCGGTATTCAACACCACAGAGCAGGACTCATCCAACAGCTCTAGCTGGCATATGTTAGAAGGCCCTGTCGGCTTGCAGAACCTTGCACCCCACAGAAGTCTGAACAGGCTACCATGCTGTCTTCAAAAGGTTCAGTCCTGTACCATTGGGACAGGATTCACGCAGGCTTTGCAAGTATTTTCTACTTGGAATTCAGGCCCAGAGAGCCTTCTTAGCATATATATAGTTATGGAGGCAACCATTGTCACTGAAAGCCTCAGCAAACTCTGGTACCAAAAGCTCTGATTTTCCTGTATGTGTGGGATGGTGTCCAAAGGAGCCACATGAGTCATCAAAAGCTGAAGGTTTAGGGCATGAAAATCTGTAGCCTAGGCCAAGTGTCATGGGCCAGTTGAAAACCCTCAGAACGGCACACACACCTCGTTTATAGGTAAGAAGTCCACATTCATTAGAGTGACTAACAAGCAGCTAGGCATTTTTCAAGACTCATTCTATGATTATTGCCTCCAGTGATCCAAAAGAAAAATCATCAGCTTCATTCCAGGCATATGTCAGTGGCCAGCCAAGCCCTCCTAAGGCTGAGGGCCACCACTGCCTTCCCACCCTGGAGCTCCTGAAGCCACAATTGGGCTGGCAAGAGAAGGGCTGGAAAGGGGGCCACTCCGAGGAGCTGAGAGCAAGGAGAGCCACCTGCTTTTAATCAATTCTTCTGTTAACATGCCCAAACACACATCAGGTGATTCTAAAATTAGGCAGAAGGATTACAATTTACTGGGCACCTACTATGAGCCCAAATCAGCTTGATCCTGAAGCCCGGGGCTGTTTATTTAGCACAGTCTTGCCACATGCCCTCACTGCATGGGTGGCCTCAGAGCCGAGGGTCAGCACTCTGCGGGGTGTCCGCATTTTGCTGAGGCTCTCCTTCCATGAACTGAGATGAGCATTCCTCTGAAGCACTAAGCACTGTTCCTAGATGACCCCAGAAGCTTCTCCAAGGGTCTCCAACCTGGAGCTGTGCTGAGACTGTGCCAGGAATGACCCAGCATAGCCCTGGAAGACCCTGCTCCAGTGGGATCAGGTAGCCATGATGGCAAAAATAATCACATTGGAAATAAAATCAGAATGGGGCTCAACTGTACCACAGAAGCAAGGTGGTACACAGGTTGGCATTGCAGGTCATCATCAACCTGGGGATGAGTAAGGAGTAATCTCCAGACATTTGACTCATCTACAAAACATCATCTTCCTCCAACCTGGCAATCATTTCTGAGGGGCCTCTAACTTAGTGGGCACAGCTGGGGGTAAGCTCCTCTTCTGCATTCCTCCCTCTGCCCCTCCTCTACCTGCCCCTCTATATTTGGAGTAGAAGGTATGTGGAGGAAGGTAAGTGTTTCCAGGCAAGGCAACACTAAGATTCTGAGGACAAAAGACAAATAATGGACAGAGAGCTACCCACAGTCATAGGGACAGCTATGCTGTCACTGAGTGACATTACAGAATAGGTTCATCAAAGGGTGAGCTGCAGAGACAATGGAGCCCAGTGAAGTGATGTGTGTCATGATTGATGCAGCATTGCTCCAGGGAGAGAGAAAACCATCTGCAGCCCATGAGTGCTGCGGCTTGGAACTTCCCTCTGCGTGGAACCATGTGTGGCCACCTGCTTTTGCTGACACCCTTAGTGCTCACCCCCTTGTGGATAACAGAACCTTGATTTTCTCAGGGAACCATACTCCCCTCAATTTGGTCTATGTAGTTGGGTGGGACTGACCCTATCCCCAGAAGCTGGGCGGGTACATCCCTCCGATCCAGCCAATGAAAACACTTGATTGGTTCTGGGATGGGCATGTAATTAACCTAACTGGGGAAAATGACAGTTTGGGAAGTTTTGCTAAAGTTACCGGGATAGAGCATGTACGGTGTGTGGTGGGATTCCTGCATGATTGACTGTCAGTCTGGAGCTGTTGGGGGCATCGGTGCCCCTGTGATGAGAACGCCTATGAGAAATGGAGCCAGGCCAAGTAAAATCCTCCCTGAGAGAGGGAGAGCCACCACTTCCTGCAGACTTACTTGTGCCTAGCGGTCCAGCCATGCCTGGAGCCAGACCATTTTTGACCTTCAGGTAGATGCTATCATGAATCCTCTTTTTTGCTTCAATTAGTTTGAAATAGCTTTTTACCTTGTACTGAAACAGTGCTGAGAAATCCAAGTATGAACATAAAGGCTTATATGAAACATAAACAATATGAGATCAGCAGGGCTGAGATTCAGCAGATATGCACAATTAGGACTATCCTGTTGTTGAACTATTAAACTATGCCCATTACAGTTGGTAAACAGCCACCCCAACTCCAGCGACCCACTGCTGCCCGGGTCCCCTGGACCATACCCTGGCATGCC
Source organism: Homo sapiens (assembly GCF_000001405.40). Classification (NCBI taxonomy): domain Eukaryota; kingdom Metazoa; phylum Chordata; class Mammalia; order Primates; family Hominidae; genus Homo; species Homo sapiens. The sequence goes on along the minus strand of NC_000010.11, from coordinate 48,904,198 downwards.
TTGCACTTCACCACAATCTATAAAGGGTAAGTGCCTGGCACAATAGGAGCCTCTGCTGGTAGCCACTGCAATTAGTCTATTGAAGGTCATCAATGACTCTCATGTTACAAAGCTCAATGGTCATTTCTCAGTTCTTATCCCACTTGGCCTACCAACAACACTTGACCACTCCCACCTTGAGTCACTCTACCTGGCTTCCAGGATGTCTTCCACACCTACAGTTTCTGCTACCTTTCTGGCTACTCCTTCCCCATCTCTTCAGCTGGCTCTGCCCATGTCCTTACCAGAGGGTAAGTTTGGTGTGCCCAGGGCACAGTCCTCTGATCTCTTTTCCATGTGCATCCATTCTTGATAATCTTGCCCATTCTCATCACTTTAAACACTATTCTAAATTTATGTCTCACTTGAACCTCTCTCTTGAACTCCAGATTCATATGCCCAATAGCTCCATGATGTCTTTGAGATGTATGATAGGCATCTCAAAATTCACATGTCTAAATCTGAGCTTCAGATAGCCACAGTGGCCCTACAGCCACTCTTTCTCTGATCATCCTCATTTAATTTTCCAATTGCTGAAGCCTAAATCCTCTGTCTTATCCTTAAGTCCTCTGTCACATACATGCATTTCTCACACTTGATTTGTCATCAGATCCCATCAAATGTACCTTTAAACATGTCCATAATCTGATCACATCATATTATCTTTGCTTTCATGTTCCTGATCCAAGCCACCATCATCTCTCACCTGGATTACTGCAACAGCCTCCAGCAATAGCTTCCTAACTAGTCTCCAGCTTCTGCCTTTGACCCACTCCAGTCTATTCTTGGCACAGCAGCCAGAGTGATTCTTATTAATATGTCAGTTCACATCAACCCTCTGCTTAAAATCCTCCAACGCTTCCCATCTATTTGGAATAAAAACCGACATGAGAATCTTGCACCAACTATCCCCTGTGACCTCCCTCACCTCCACCCCAACTAACTCCCTGCACTCCAATTTGATAAGCCTCAGCCATGCCTTGCTCTTCCCTGGGTCTGACACACTCTTTACTCAATTAACTGCATAACATGTTTCTCCACCTTTTTTTTTAGACAGAGTCTTGCTCTGTCGCCCAGGCTGGAGTGCAGTGGCGCGATCTCAGCTCACTGCAACCTCCACCTCCTGGGTTCAAGCGATTCTCCCACCTCAGCCTCCCAAGTAGCTGGGATTACAGGCACCTGCCATCATGCTTGGCTAAGTTTTTGTATTTTTATAGAAACAGGGTTTCACCATGTTGGCCAGGCTGGTCTTGAACTCCTGACCTCAGGTGGTCTGCCCACCTTGGTCTCCCCAAGTGCTGAGATTACAGGAGTGAGCCACCACGCCCGGCCAAGTATTAATTCAAAGATTGTTTTCTTGATAAGGGCTTCGCTTGCCACCTCATCTAAGATTTCAATGCCCACCTCTATCTGCTTGGTTTTTTACACTTACACTTATAATTATCTAATATGCTTTATAGTTCACTCATTTATATTGGTTTATGTCTGTCCTCCTGGTGAGAATGTGAACTCAATAAGGACAGGGGATTTTTTTTTTCTATTTGCTTGTTGCTCCATCAACAAGCAAATACCATGTATCACAAGCTATTAATAAATAATTTTGAAGGAATTAGTGAGACCCATTTTATACTGATTATAAATATCTTGAATGTCATTCCTGGGGACACCCTCTTGATTGGTCCCCACACATTCCTGTAGAAAACCAGCTACCACCTTCTTCTATTCTCACCCCGACTGAAATAAAAACACCTACTGATCCCTAAGTGGCCTTCCAGAGAACTGGGTAGCTGGAAAGGGGACCTGGCGGCGGCGGGGGGGACTGCAAGCAATTCATTCACTGGGAGAGACGCCCCATAGCACAGATTCCTAAATTAATGTCTGATTCGCACACCAACTTGTATGAATTTAGCTTCTAAGCGTTCAGAAACCCTCATCACAGGAGGGACAGCATGGGATTGCTCACACACCCCCATGGGAGGGCCTGACCTCCAAGGCTGGGCCTGACTCCACACCTCTGTGCCACCTGCCCAGTCACCAAAGGCAGAGGATGGCTTCCTGCCACTTGGGTCTGAAAAAGCCACAGGGCATGTGAGACTTCAAGTCTGTTCACAGAGGTTTAACTGGCAGAAGGAATTTCAGGAGTAGGATGAAGGATGTATAGGAATAGGAGAGAGAAAAATGAGGGAAACTGTTGGGCATGCTCTCTGCAAGACTTCTTTAGAGTGGGATGAGGCAGAGGAGGAACATCAAAGCCAGGGCAGTGCCATGCCCAGACAGCATGGCTACCCGCCATTACCTTAGACTGAGGGTGTCCTCCGAGGTGGCTTTCCCCTTCAGGCTGGGTTGGAAAGAGCAGAAGCTACATGAAAAGGGAAGGGATAATTCCATCAGCAGAGTCAAGACCCTTTCTCCTGCTGCAGAGGCATTTCCGGAGTCAGGCAGGAAGCTAGGCTCATTATTGCTCCCCCTCGCTCCATCCTGCCCCCAGGTCGTGAACACCAGGCCTGGGTGTACCTCTGAGGCAACCCTCAGCACTCTCTGGCATTACACACTATTGCCTTAATACCAACAATGACAACAATAAAACAATAATTACTTAGGCAGTGTGTGTGAGGTACCGCCTCTGGGCCAGGCAGTTGACAACATTGCCAATGTCAACAATCCTGCTGTACATTCCAGTGCGTTGCTGTGAGGACAAATGCCATCTTAATGCCAGGCTCCTTGAGCCGAGTGGGTAGTGGTTGTGGAGTCTGCATTAGGCCACCTTCACATCCTGAGCTATGGAGGTGTAAGATTTCTAGATCAACTGTGAAAAACTTTGTTTAATGAACAGAAACCATAGGGGGAAATGAATCAAGTTTAATGGGTTGTATGTCTGCTTGTTTGGTTTGGTCTAAACTAGGCCTTGAATATAATTTTAGGGGGCAATCTAGCAGCAGCATGGAAGAACCGCATGAGCAGGCTCACCTGAGTCCAAGGAAGTGCGCCTAGAACTAGCACAAAAGCCTCTCTACAGTTGTTTTTCTCCACCCTGGCCCTGCCTCTTGGATGCAGTAGTGGGCCCTGGGTGCCAGTTCCACAGGGCCACTAGAAGGCAGGGCTTGAATTTCTGAGCACAAAATGGGCTCCTTGGCCAGGGGATATCAAATCTCACCTCAGAACTTCCAGCCCATGTGGAGCAGCACATAACCACTCCCTCTGTTAATCAGCCTCTCTGTGGTCTATAATGATGAGGAACTGACCTTCCTTTCTGTTCTTTCTAGATTCACTACAAACCAATCTACTGATCTATAACTTTAATGGTAATAAAAACAAATAACCATGGTATTAAGAACTTACACACTGGCTTAGATTTCTTAAACTGATCCATCTGGAGAAAAACATGTTCAGTGCACATGTGGGAAATCAGTTGTTTGGAATTCCTTCCAATGAAATATGAAATTGGAGCAACTAAAATTGGCAACTGGGATCAGAAAGAAAGATTAAGCCAAAAAAATTACTTGGAAAATTAGAAAATAAAGCCAGAACATTCTGGAAGGCCCATTAAACAGCCAGTTCCTTAACTCTGTGGTAGCTGCGTAATTTTTTTCTCACTTCCTGTTCTATGCCACTTCAGTTCAGGAAAATGGAGCCTGCTTCCTAGGACTGAAGGAAGGGCCTTCTCTGCCTGTTCCTGTACATCATTTCATGACTTGGCAGTTCTGCAGGCCAGCAGTGCCTCCCTGGGCCCAGCCTGAGTGGCGTTCACTGTGGGTTGAGAACACTTTTCCTGAGCACAGAGCTGAGTGTTCTCTGCCCCTCTGCTCTCAGTTCAGGATCAGTTTCCTCAGAAGGAGGATTTTCAAGCTCTTACCTTTTAAAGGCCTTACTCCGATCATTGTTGTAGAAGACAAGAAACTTGGAATATCCATTGTGGAAGAAGATCTCCAGGGCGATGTCCTGTGAAGAGAAGCCCCTTTTAATGCTCCTGATATTTTGTGGACTAGAGACGCCCCAGGGTGACACAGCTGCTGGAAATGGGTCATTGCGGGTCTCCGTGTCAGAAGACCCTTCCTGGGTCGTCCTTTTGAGTTCCCATGGTAGGAAGACCTTGGTGACAGGGATGGGGTGCTTCTGCAGAATGTGTGGGAGGGCAGGGGGCCTGACCACAGCTTGGAGTTCTGTTGAAGCAGGAAGCGAAAGGTCCACTCCCAGGGCAAGCGTGAAGCAGACACGAGAGAAAGCACCCATGCCATCCTCAGACTTTTTCACTTCTGAGTTATGGCATGGGTGAGCCAGGGGGTCAACTTACCAGAAACTGAACTAGGGAATCTAGTTCAGTGCGTGCAGCTGGGCAGCATCATGGGTTGATCTACAGACTTAAGCAGCACAGGGTCCCCTGCCGAGGCCATTTTGATGTGGCCCCACTGGCATAGTAAAGTTTTTGTCAGGGGTATTTCCTTAATGCCTAAATTAAATTCACATAACTATCTTTTCTTTTTTTTTCTCCCACCCTTGTTTCCTCTCTAACTCCCTTCTATTCCAAGCTATGTAAATAATAAACTTGGAATAAGAGATAGAGTGAGTTACCTATAAGATAAGCCTCAGGGATGAGATGAGGCCAAGGAGAGAGAATTCCCAGGGCTGAAGGGAGAGTTAGGGAGAGAAGAGACCTGTACATGGAGGGAAGGATGGGGTGGGGTAAGATTCAGACTCAGAGGTGGGTACTGCACCCAATAGCAGAGTCCTGTCCTGCATCTACCTGGCTGGAAGTGAGTTCTCAAAGTCCAGTTCATTAACTCTCCTGAGCAGAGAGAAGGTATCTGCAAGGATGTTGCATACCTTCTCTCCTCTGCTAGTGAACAGGAGACTCTTGGATTTTTTTCTACAAATAGAAATATAAATAATGTGCAAAACAGGAAGTGAATGCAGAATTTGTGGAGGGTACAGCTTGCCCTGGATACCTTGAGTGCCAAGCTCTGCCTTTCTCCTGGGAGAATCCAGGGATGGACAAATGGTGGCCTTGCTCAAAAAGCTCTCCCTTTGGCTTCCACCACTTCAGGTGAACCAACCCTCTGGAAACAATCACCATGTACTTGGGGAAAAAACCCCACTGACTGATACCTATCTGCTACTCTATATAACATGTGAGGTAGACATATAATCATAAAAAATAATTTTGAGTACCTATTTTGTGCCTAAAATTGTACTCAGTGCTGTATGTATAATAGTGGAAAGGCAGGACACGGCCTCCCGCTCACTGAAGGGCAAGGAAACCAGAGAGGTGCCCACAGGAGCTAATGTGGCAGAGCTGAGGTGGAGATTGGCCCAGAACCAGCAGCACTGCCCAGAACCATCAGGGCAGGGCTGCTACTTCCACTCTGCTCTTCCTGCTCCTTCACCCTGCAAAGGCCCTCAGGAAGCTCAGGCAAAATGAGAACTAACTGTGTTGCAGGCAAAAGCAGCAGAGGGAGGAAGAGTGCTCATTAGAGGGCTAGAGTGGAGCTGCTGGCAAACCCTTGACAGGAGGGCAGCTGGGGCCTTTCAGGAATTCCCCCACCTTAAAGGCCACCCTGAGCTTCAGTTTCAGAGAATGATAGTGAGCCCTCTTGCAGGAGGGGTCACTGGATGAATCAATGACCTACGTACAGAAAATAGATTTACAAATGAAAAATGTCTAGTTCATCTAGGCCAAGCACTGCTCTCTTGCTGGCCTTTGGAACTAAGTGATCCTGTAGAGAGGGTGGGAAGAGATCCTGACCCTCCTGTTACGTGGTCCCTAGGATCCCCTTTTCTGCCAGCTGCCCTGGAGGCCCAGGGACTGGGGATGCAGCTTTGCTATTGCTGAGCTTGGGGTAATGAAGGCAACATGTGTTTGATGTCACTGGGGGCCCCTGAAGTTTACCCTACTCCCTTTGCTGCTCAGGTGATGTTTCTAGAAAGTGTGATCTATCTGTGAAGTGGGATGAGAAGTGGGAGGTTATGACCAGCTTATGGCTGAGCTTTTCCTCTGAAAGGAGCCACCATCACTGTTGCATGCCTGGCTAAGCCCTTGAAGGCATGGGTGAGGCACTGAAAGATCCTGGTTGGAGGGGGCAGCTGGGAGATCCCTAAACCACTTGGCCCCAGAAACAGGGCCAAGCAGGAGCTTGGCAATAGGCGAGCACCTTGGGGAGAAAGGGGGAGAGTATGTCAGCAAGGGAGGTCTTACCCCTGTGGGCAGGACAGGGCAGAAGGCACTCTACTCCCAGTTATCAGCTCTACTGGGAGGTAATGTATCTGTCCTGCCCTGTATTCCTAAATCTCCAAGGCAGCTCTGGGCTGTGTCAAGAGCAAAACAGCGAAGCAGCTAAATCCTAAAAGACACAGCAAAAGGCCCAACAGCCAACGGCAAGGACTGCAGAGTGGAGCAGAAGTCAGAACTCCCACCTGGGACCAGGGCCACCACAAGCCCAGGGAACTTGCGGGTGTCTCCTTAAGGGCACTGGGCTGTGCATAGGCACAAAGAAGAGTCACAGAGGTGTGTCTCTGGATGGCTCCTGGACCACCTGTCCCATGGCCCTGCCTCTCGCAGGCCCCAGGCGTGCCAGCACCCAGTGTGCTTACCTGCAGGAGGAAGCGAGCCTGCCGTAGCTCCCGCATGTCAGCGTAGCTGTGGCACTGGCACGAGTAATGGTCAGTGGACCTGTCTTTGCTGCACAGGTTGAAAATGAACGGATCGCTGATGCTGAAAAGGAAACAGGCATGCAGGGCACATGTTCAGACATCAGAGTGAGGACACGTGCAGGCTTCTTCTTCTTCCTGCCCTCCACCAGCTCCACCCACATTTCCAATGACACATCAGAGAAGTGCGGTGGTCACTGCCAACCAGTGTGCTAGCCCTACTCATCTGAGAAATCCTTGCTGAGTGCTTGCCCATGTCAGCTCTAGCACTGGCCGCTGACACGTGAAAGCTGCCCTGCCCTGGAGGAACAGGGTGGGGTGCCAGCCTCACCAGGCCAGGGGACAGCAATATGACGGCGCAGTTTCCAGGATGATGCTGACAAAGGGTATGAGGGTCGGGGTGAGAAGGCCCCTGGGTGAGAGTGGGGGCCAGCAGGGAGGGCTTCATGGGTCCTGTGCGTGACTGTAAACCATGCCCAGGAGCCCTCGTGGGTTCCTGTGGCCTCTCTTCCCTGGCTCCCCCATGCCCAGCCTGGCGCTGTGCCAGCTACCTCTGCCCAGGCGTGACAGTCTCAGCCCCAGGATACCTGCCGTGCCACACACCTTAGTCCCTCTGCCCAGGTGTTCTCGTTTTGTATTGAATGACCTCTTTCCCTGGCAGGGCTGAGGGGCTGGACAAGGTAACTGAGTCAGGTGTGGCCTGTGGCTGCCACAGGGACTGACAGGACTCAGACCCTTCATGGCAGGATTGGGGAGTACAGAGCACTTGGCAGGGAGGTTTGAGGGAAGTCAGGTGACTGTGAGACTGAATGCAAACCAGAGTTAGGAGGGGTCAGGCACCACAGGGAAGAGGAGGGAGTGGAGCAGAGGAAGGCAAAGAGGCCGCTGGCAAGGCATGAGGACAGCACCTAGAGCTCATCTGCACAGCGCCTGCATCCTGAGAGGCTGCCCAGCCTGGCCTGGGCCCTGGCAACCTTCAGGATGAGGTCTCTTCAGAGGTGAGTGAGGCTCTCACTGAGACTGTAGAGTGATGTCTCGTGTCAAACCAGGGAGCTCTTCAGGACCCTTGGCCTGTCTCCCTGACATCTTCGGCAGCCCTGAGAGCTATCTGGCTCTCAGCTGAGCTGCCCCTAAACATCTCTGACTCCCAGTGGGGCCATAGTGGTAATTCTCCTTCCTACCCTTGGCTTAGGTCAAACCACATCCCAGGTCAAGGTACTGGTGGGGATGACATAGCCACTCATCTGTGCTCCCAGCATCCATGCTAACAGGAACCACAGCAAATATCCTTTGCCCCTTGGCGGCATGTCTGACTGGTCTGTCTCCCCTGCAGACCATACAAAGGCACAGGCCTGAGCTGCTGGGTATACCCAGCCCAGGACAAAGAGGTGTACTGAATTCTGAAGCGATTGCTCAGTCACACAGCAGAAATAACTTCCTGAAAGCCAGAGCTCATTCAGTTTGCAAGACCCAGGCTGGACAGAGAAAATGTAGGGAGTGCATCTTAAAATTCCCAGGCCAGGCCTGGAGCAGTGAGAAGCAATCTTGGAGAGGTGATAAGGAACTCACTGAAAAGGCAGAGAAGGGACCCACGTGTGATGAGGGACCCACCTCCTGGGCACCTGGAGGAACAGAGGCATGCCTCCAGCAGGCATCAGGCAGTCCCGAGATGAGGCCCCTTGGAGAGTTATGAGGGGTGTGCAGGAAGCTTTTCCAGAAAGATCTCAGAGTGACCCCTCCTCCCAGAGAAGCAGAAGAGAGGAGGGGAAAGGGAGGATAATAAATTTGTCCAAATATTTATTCCCAAAGAGAACAATTTGTACACTGGAAATAACTGAAATGCCTTGAGCTAATCATATGAAGCTTTTCATCATCTGGACACATGGGAGCTTCAGAAATAAAGTTGATTTCTGTTATAGACAGTTACATTTCTGAACATCTGGGGCATGTAGTCATCTTAAATTGTGTATACAACCACAGCCATTCTGATAAGATGCCAGGACTAAGAAACGAAGGCCTCCCAAGCACGCCAGCCCTCAAGAAGCCTGTGTGCCAACCACAGGCCCAGAGAGCCAAGGGCTACAAAGGCCCCTGCCCCAAGGTGGTCCTGCCAGCCCCAGCCTAAGGTGACAGGGAGTGGGTGAGGAAATTGTTTCAGCTTCTCCCATTCCAGCTCCCAGTGTGGTCCCCAAGGCCCAGCCTACAATGTAGCCCATGGAGCCTCCATGCCCCACTTCTTGGGGAAGTTGAGAGAGGCCAAGCAGTCACAGACCCAGAGGGAATTCTCTAGTCTATGGTCAGTGGCAGTCCAGCATGTGCAGTACTAAGAGCTTCGACTTGTGCTGGGCAGCAGGGAAGCCTGCCCAAGTGAGACACAGCCTGAGCCCCTTGCTTAGGCCCCTGAACAGCTGGGCTTTGAGGTTGCAGACTCAGGCTCTCTGCAGACCCTTCTCAGAACAACCCTCCCAGGCCCTCTCCTCTAAGCCGCATTGTGGTAGGATGGATCAAACACAAAACACCGCTTTGGTTCTGAATGCTTCTGCCAGGATGCTTTAATACAAACCGGCTGCTGGCTGAGGTCCTTTGTCCATTATTAATGTCTCTATCTGGATCTCAGCTGAGCTGCTCCTACACATCTCTGACTCCCAGTAAGGCCACAGAGACAATTCTCCTTCCTACCTTTGGCTTAGGTCTAGCAGCATCCCAGGTCAAGGTACTGGTGGGGATGACATGGCCACTCCTCTGTGCTCCCATCATCCCATGCTTGTGGGAACCACAGAAAATATTCTCCATACCTTAGCTGCAGGTCTGGCTGTTCTCTCTCCCCTGCAGACCCTACAAGGCGCAGGTCTTTGCCCATGGCTCTCCGTCCTCTGTATCTTCCCCTGAGCTCAGGACATGTTTGCTAAGTGACTGTCATGCTCTCTGGCCTGCCAAGCATTTCCCTATTCATTATTTAATTGGATCCTCATAAGGAAACCTTATACTGACCATGACTTATTTTTATTCCCATATCATAAATGAGGAAACTGCATTCCAGAGAGGTGAGACTTTTCCAAGGTCATGTGGTCCTCAAGAGGTGAAACTTGGTTTCAAACCCAGGTCCTCCAACTCTAACACCCATGCTCTTTCAATAGTGCCTTTTCTCCCTGGAGGCAGAAATGCTCCCTAGCTTTTACAGAGCTCTACCACTGGCTCACTGCTTTCAGTTTGCTCTGTGCTGACTGTTTCTGCAACTCAGGACTCTGAAACACAGATGACATATGGAAGAATGCTCTGGAAAATGGTAACGAGCTTTTAGGAGAAAAGATAGTCATTTTCCTCCTGCTTGTAGAAACTGAATAGCCATATAGAGGATGGATCCTCAGAAAGACCCAAAGTCTCAGAAAAGCTAAATTATGTACATTATTGATTCCCCTGATTGACTTCCAAATTGAGGTCTATCATATGTAACATTCACACAGCTGTGATTGGGAGTCTTCGACAATACTACACCCTACATGTTCTACAAAATGAATCGAATTTCAGGCAGTCAAGGGTACTGGGTAGAAGGGGCAGCTGATCCATATTCTTTGGGTAGAGCCATTACCATAGTTCAGAGGCTGCCATTCACAGTTCGTCAGCATAACAGCCAGCAGGATCTGCAAAAACTGTCCATGTGCTTAGGATAACTGTCAATATTCTGACTAGATAAATCACAGTGAGATAAATGATAGTTATGATATTGGTTGACCTGTTCTTTGATAGTAGAAGTGGATTTCAGGATAAAACATACTTCGATTTGGCCCACATTTGAAGTTACCTGACTGTTGCCAGAATTATACCTGGAATTTATACCCAGAAACATTCACTAGATTGTAAACTCTCTACCCGATTTAGTCCACATCTAATTCACTCTTTCCATCTATGGAGTCCACCATAGTGCTGAGCATAAGACAGATTTTCAATAAATATTTGTTGAACTGAATAAAACAGAAATGATGCATTAAAACTGCTCACTGATGGGGAAGAATTATCTGATTTAAAATACTCTATCACAAAGAGCCTGTTGGATGACTTAGGTTCCCACTAAGTTAATCAAATTCTCTGCCTTGTGAGCTTGAATGCCCTTGTCATGGGTAGAACCGTGTCCCCCAAAAGAGATATGTTGAAATCCTAACCCTCAGTACCTCACACTGTGATTGTATTTGAAAACAGGATATTTACAGAGGTAATCAAGTTAAAATGAAGCCATTGGGATGGGTCCAAATCCAACCTGACTGGTGTCCTTATAAAAAGGGAAAATTTGGACACGGAGATAGACACACAGAGGGAAGATGATGTGAAGATACAGGGACAAGATGACCAGGTGCCTGAATCAATGCATCTCAAAGCCAAGGGATGCAAAGGATTGTCTGCAAACACAAGAAGCTTAAAGAAGCAAGGAAGGAGGCTTCCCTAGAGCAGTCAGAGGAAGCATGGCCTTGCCTTGGTTTCATGCTGCCAGCCTCTAGGACTATGAAACAACACATTTCTGTTTTTTTGTGTGTGTGCATTTGTTTGTTTTTTGCCACCCAGTTTTTGACTGCCCTAGCAAATGAATACAGCCACCCTAATCAGCTAAGAAAGGGACTTACTACAAGCAAAAGCTAACCTTCTCAGAAGGCTGTTAGTTTCTGAGGAAATTTCCAAAGTGCAAAGTGCAAATTCCAGTCACTGTCAAGGAGTCTGTAATGTTCTTGAGTCTGATTTTGGATGTTTTTATGGTACATCGGACAGGCTCTTTCAAGGTCTAATGTGCAACTGACTCAATTCCATAGCAGTCTTTTACAGAAACATTTCAGGTTTGACTTAGCTTTATTTTTAACAAGTTTATTTATGTATCTTCTTTAATCTCCATGGTCAAAATAAGACTTAATCCCCATTGATCTGGAATGATCTAATAGTCTGTCTCAGAACTGCATCTCCAGGAATGCTAGTAGTTTCTTAGGGCACCAGATGAGACCCTGGAGAGAAAGCACTGATTAACAAATGCTTCTTTGAGGTATGGTGACTAAAACTATCTGGGCACTTCCCCAGTGCAATTCCAGGGTAGTAATTTGTTCTCACTCTACTCCTGCTTGCATTCTAGAGAAGTACATTTTCAGACATGAGAAGTCTCCCTTGTCTGTCATTGCAAATCAAGTGAGTACATAAAATCTGACCACTGGGCTTCTATTAAAAGTGCAGATATAGTGAATTTGATCATGATTAGGTACACCTCATAAACACAATTTACCTAATCAATAAGATCTTATCTAACACTATCTAAACCAGAGGTGAAGAGCACAGCAGTGGATTATGTGAGTCATCACAGGGGCACACCGTGCATATGGATAGAGTAGAAAGCTTTCATCCGCTCTCAGAGAGGCACGGCTGCAGGCCCATTGTCCATATTGATCAGTATCAATAAAACATGAGCAATAAGATGGGATGAGGAGCCAAGTATTAATTATGCTTCTCCTGCCTTGGAGAAGCACAGAAGACTCACAGCAATCGGTGAACATTTGGTATGAATAAAATATGGAAATTAGCAGAGAGAAAAATGCCAAGCATTTTAAAGCATTTTGATCTAAATCAACCAAGGTGGGCTGACATCTACTCTTCCGCACTCCTTCAACTCTTTCTTCCTTACATAGGTTGGAAGTGATAGGACAACTGGAAGTTAAAGTTCTTGGTTATTGGCAGATAAGACTTGGACTCCTCAGTCAGCAGCCTAAAACAGTAGCTCTCAAAGTGTGGTCCCAGACCAGCAATAGAATCAGCATCAGCTGGGAACTTACTAAACCTCAGGCCCTGCCCCAGACCTACTGAATTAGAAACTAGGGTGGGGCAGGACCCAGGCATCTGTGTGCTAACAAGCCCTCCAGGCTATGCTGGTGTCAGCTAGTTTGAGAGCGACTGGGCTAAGAAGTCATCTTGTCATTATCTGAACCTGGGTCAACTGGAAAAGGCAAGGCCTATCTCTGCACGAAGAACTCTTCATCCAAATATCTTCAAAGACAATGATCAAGTGAAAACATACACTTGACAACTGGACTTTTGGCAAAAGCTCAGTCAATTTGATTTTGAATGGCCTTACTTCATAAACACAGGAGAATTGCACAATAAGGGCTGACTGTACCCAAATAGACCAACTGCACTTGATCCTAAAGAACTTGGCATTTCCTGCCAAAGGTCTCTTGTATTTGCTTGTGTAAAAATGACTTCAAGTTTCTTCCCAAGTCTCACCCATTCTGCAAAACCCAGATCTTGATCCCTTCCTCAGGTAGCTCTTCCCCACCACTCCAGTCCCAGGCCATCCCTCCAAGCCTGAACCCTGAAGATTTTGTCCCACGACCATAGTGTGTGGCCAACAGTTTCTGAAAGAACCTGTGCATGCTGCCGATTGCATTAAGTCCCTCGGAAGAGAGGGGCGGTGCCTGTTTTCTCACGCAGAATGAGCAACTAACATGTCGTTGAGTGAGTAAGTTGACGGCGACTGAATTCAGCCATGCGAATAATTGAAGGACTGATCCCTGAGTCCTGACATTCCACATTAGGGGAGATGTGAGGAGCTGCCACATTAGTACCCAGTCCTGATCACTGCTTAGGGGAACCATGGCCATGGATGGCCTATGCCTGCAGGTCCTTCTGTTTTATCTCATGGCTCAGTTTCAGGCCCAAATCTAAGCCCACTGTAAGAACAAGGTGAGAAGGGGAATAGTGGGGGCGGCTGGTAAGGATGAATGGGGCTCAGGGAAGAATCTGCTGGGAGAAGTGGATAACTCACTTGGATAAGCAGTGACGGGTACAGTAGACATCACCCGTGGGAGACAGTGTGAAGTTCTCGCAGATGTAGAAGTGTTGGTGGCCAAAAAGCAGGACCCCTTCTGACACCAGGTGGCCCTGCACAATCACCAGGGAGAACTTCTGCGTCACCTGGAAGGAGAGAGTGGCAGAGTCAGGTGGTGCACAGGAAGCATGCCCATGATTCTTGGGGGAAACAGGAGGGTAGTGACCAGCCATCCATGGGGCAATTGGAGGTGAGAGCAGTGCCTTGTATGAATGGCAGTCCCGCTGTCCCAGGACTGTACTGCTCTTCACAGCCTATGTGGCACTACCACACCCCACCTGGGCTGGTGTCTGATCTACTCAAGCCTACCTCTGCTCCCACCAAGATGTGTGGGTGAGTGTTTACTGCTATATTCAGCACATCAAAGTCCTTTCTCTCACTTTAAGGCCCTCTACAACCATGCAAAGCATCCCACAGTTAACTGTGAGGAAAGTTCACCAGGTACAAGACATCGCTCAGTTACAGAGGAGAGGGAGCTTGTCCAGGGACCAGCCAGTACATGGTTGAGCCAGGACTAGAATTCAAATGTGCCTAGAACCACAAGTGCAAGACAGGTACTGCCATCTCTGCAAGGCCAAGGAAACATGTGCAGAAGATGCACGGTGCTCTGCCCAGATCCTTCCTCTTGGACCGAGGTGAGCATTTCCCCTGTTGCTGGAAATGCTGGCAGTTCTCCAGAATTGCCTTAGCTGAATACAGCCCCTGGTCCAAGGTCACATCCTCTTCCCAGGGGCAGTCTGTACCCAACAACTGGACAATGTGGAGTAGGAAGGCTTAGCCCCTCTGGCTCAATTCAAGAAAACTCTAAACAACCATCCCAAACCTAGAGCTGCTCTGGAATCAGCTGAAGTCTTTGCTGAGACTACATTGTGGTTGCACTTCTCCGCTGGCCCAGCCCTGCAATCCTCATTCCCAATCAACTTTCTCCGTGCAGAACCTGACCCATGACAATATCTTGGTATGACCCAGAGTTCTGCATGTGGTAAGGATCAAGTGGGTCCTTACATAGTAAACCCTAAAGGAACAAGTGAGTGAATCAATAAATTCTAGAACATGAGAGCCTAAAGGGACCAAGAATAAGGCCGAGGCCAGCATTTTCTCATGGTAATTTTGTGCTAATTCCAGTTATACAAAAGCAGAATAGATATGTTTGGGAGAAAAAAAATAAAAGAGGTTCCAGGAGATAAGACTCTCACTAAAGATCAGCCACCTACTAAGTGACACAGCCTGGGACTGAAGCAAAGCTCCCTGCTCACCTTTGGGAGCAATGACAAGGCCACAGTGGTGCCCTGAAGACCAGTTTTCCAACTCCTGCACCAAATGGGATCCGTGAAAGCCAGAGCCAAGGGCAGAAAGCAAAGGTTCACTGAGCATTTTGTTCCAAGATAAGTATTAACCACTATGATCCAGGGCAAGTCAGGGCTGAGCTGTTTTTCGTAAGCTAGGACCAGCCGAGAGCCTCTGTTTCTGTAAACAAGGTTGGTGAAGGTAGCTGGCTTTCTTGGTCTATTCTGAATCTACCTTGTCAGAGGAGCTGGCCCTCCAGCCACCTTCCAGGCCAGAGTCCAAAGTGGACTCATTTCCAATTTTATTCATTCATCCAGGTGGTCATCTATTCAGCAGTTACGGATTCAGCCTCTGCTCCATGGCAGGCACTGAGCCAGGCTTTGGGGATAAGGTGGACAAGATATACAAGAATCCTAGCCTCACAGGGCTTAAAATCCAGTAGCGGGATTTTAACCAACCAACTATTACAACCTGTGATACATGCTAAGAGAGAAAAACCAGAGTGATCATGACAAAGGCAGGGAGAAACTTGGCGAGAACACCATTCTGTTCTTGGACATTATTCTTGGTGAGGACATAGACCCTGAAACTTGAAGGTTGGAAACTTGTAAGTTCTGGAAAAGCTTGGAGAAGAACATTTCAAGGAACGGGGACATCCAGTTAAGGGCCTAGAGGCAGGAAGGGCTGATTTGGGGAACAGAAAGTGGTCAGTACGGCTAAGATGAAGTTGGAAATTAGGAGTACCAACATCATAGGTGGTCTTAGGTACCTTAGCATGGCCCTTGGGTTTTATTGTGGTTGCAACAGAAAGCCATGGGAGAGTTTGTTTCCAAAAGATGACACTGACTGCTGGGTGGAGATGGCATTAGAAAGGGTCAAGACTGAAAGGAGGGTGCCCCGTTGTGTTGCTATTTCAGTGGTCTGGGATGGATGGCAGAATGCAGAGGGAAGGAAGTGGGTGTATCTAAACAAGAAGATGGAGAATTGACAGGAGCTGCTACTGGACTAACTGGAAAGCAAAAAGAAGAAAAAGAAAAGAAAAGGAAAGGGAAAGAAGGAAGAAAGGAAGGAAGGAAGGAAAGAGGGAGGGAGGGGGAGGGGAGAGGAAAGGAGGGGAGGGGAGGGGAGGAGACGGAGGATGAATTGAGGATAAATGATAAATGTCTACTTTGGGACTTGAGTAACTGTGTGGCATTCCCAGGTTCTCTAGTAGTCTTCCCCAGGGGCAACCACCATTACCACTTTATTGGATATTCTTCCAAAGAGATTGTATGAATACATTAGCATGTTTATACATATTCTTTTTTACACAAAGAACATTTATATGCTTACTGCTCTGCATCTAGACTTTTCTCTTAACAATTCATCTTAGATAATTTTCCAAATCATTTATCATAGAGCTGTCTAATTCTTATTAATAGTTGCAGACTATTCCCTTGAATGGATATGCTACAGTTTATTTGACCAGTCAGTCCTTTTTTGATTCAGGTGGCTTTCAAATGTTTTGACATAACAGGCAATGCTACAATGACCATCCTTGCAGATAAGTCATTTTGAATACACAAGTAAATCTGAAGCATAAATTTTTTTTTTTTTTTTGAGATGGAGTCTCGCTCTGTTGCCCAGGCTGGAGTGCAGTGGCGAGATCTCCACTCACTGCAAGCTCCGCCTCCTGGGTTCATGCCATTCTCCTGCCTCAGTCTCCTGAGCAGCTGGGACTACAGGCACCCACCACCACGCCCGGCTAATTTTTTGTATTTTTTAGTAAAGATGGGGTTTCACCGTGTTAGCCAGGATGGTCTTGATCTCCTGACCTCGTGATCCGCCCGTCTTGGCCTCCCAAAGTGCTGGGATTACGGGCGTGAGCCACCGCGCCTGGCCTGAAGCATAAATTTCTATAAGCAGAATTGCAGGTCAAGGGTATGGGCATTTTTAATTCAAGTAGCCATTGCCAGATTACCCTCCCACAAGGTGACACTAATTTACACTCCCACCAGGACTATCAGGAAGATTATGTCAGGCTGCTTAAACTTTTTCTCTTATTGTACCTTTTCCCAGATGAGACTCAGAGACCCCAACCTCAGGTTCACATGATGAGATGATGTGGCTCTGCAATGCCAGCCCTGGCCTATGTGCCTCCAAACCCTCTCTCCTCCCTGTGACACCAGGCCCCCACCACAGCCTCCATGGTGCCTGCACCAGGGTCTCAGAGCACATGCCTATGATCTGGTGCTTCCCTTTGGGAAGACTTAAGTATCAACCAGAATAAGCCAAACCACAAGAAAAATGTCTGGTGAGAGCTGGGTTAATAGCTTAAACATTGATTCTGCTAGAAAAGAAATGGCATTTTAAAAACTAGAAAATGAACCCAAGTGAACTATTACCTGCTCTTCCATTTAAATTAGCCCTAGGAGGGCTCCATCCCTAAGTTTACTCATGATTAAGAAATCCCTTATGCCATGATTCTATTGATCACTTTAAAGAGTAGAACTTTTGCCTCATAAGTAGAGCTTTTTTAAGATCAACTGAATGATATATTAGCACTCTTGATGGGTAAAATAACTAAGAAAGTAGCCACAGCTAGCTCTGTGTATGATGACAAACAGGTTGTCCAGAAATCAACAAAATGCTGGAGCGAAAGTTAGAAGGTGTCTTAGTCCATTATCTGCTGCTATAACAGAATACCCCAGACTGGGTAATTTATAGAGATAAATGTTTATTTGGCTATTGGTTCTGGTGGACAGGAAGTCCCAGAGCATGGCACTGGCATCTAGTGAGGGTCACCCCATGATGGAAGGGCGGAAGCTGGAAGTGAGCATGCAAGACAGAGACAGAAATGGGGCTGAACTTATCCTTTTTATCAGGATCCCACTCCCATAATAATGAACCCATTCCTGCAATAATGGCATTAATCTATTCATGAGGGTCATGCTCTCATGGCCTAATCACTTCTTAAAGACCCCATCTCTTAATACTGTTACAATGGCAATTAAGTTTCCAACACAAGAATTTTGGGGGACATTCAAACCATAGCAGGGAGACAACAATCTACTGGGACATTCAGTGGTAGCACACAGCAGCACATTCTTCTAAAGTCAGGCCTCAGTGGTACATCTATAATGGGCAAGGTCAACCGGATACTCTCTAAAGTTTTCTCTAGCATTAGCAGTCTGCAACTTGGTGAAATACCCTGATTTTATAGGTAGGAAAACTGAGGTCCAGAGAGGTGACTGAAGGTACCCAGCAACAGAGCTGCCAATATATGCATTCCCTTACGTTTGTGTGTACGGTGAGTGAGTCTGCTGCAAAGAAAGCTTTAGCCCTGCTCCCATTTATCATCTGCCCTCTTCCTACATCTCTGCTTGCCTCAACCTTGTTCTGAATACATTCTAATAGTATTGGCATATGGAATAAGTATTCTTATTTTTTAGAAAAGCACAGATTGCTGAGAAAAAGTCAAGTATCAAAGAGGCAAAAGGCTATATTTGGTCATCTATGAGCTCTAGTATCTACTTTTTTCTATCTTAAATGTATTTAGACAGAGAATTCGTCATACTAATAATCAAAGGAATGTATGTTAAAACAATAAGGAGATGCTATCTATCTATTTATCTATCTATCTACCTATCTATCTATATATATAGAGAGAGAGAGAGAGAGAGAACATCTCCTTATTGTTTTATATTTTACATATATACACATATATATTAATTTGGGAAATATAGAAAGGAATGTAATGATGCATCGATCTTTTCACGTAAGTACATCTCAGGTTGAGACAAGGAGCAGGGATGCCCCCTGCCTGCCTGCATGTGTCACTTCCACAGACAGCCTGCAGACAGCCACACCTCCAATCTTTCTCTGCAGACATGGAGAAGACCAGGTGGAAATGGCAATACCTTTGCTCTTGTTTGGTTGCACCAGTGAAATGTGAAACATGTTACAAGACCCAAGGACTGTTCAAAGCACAATGCTCACCATAACCTGTGTTCACTAAGGACTGATCATTGGCAACTGCTTAAAATTGGAGCGCATTTTTAGCCAGGGTAGCTCTGAATATTGTAAAACTTGGACTCATGGATTTGGGGCATTTATTTGAAAAGTTAGTATGTATGAGAATCACCTGCACAGCTTGATAAAATTCATATTCCCAGGCTACATCCCCAGAAGTTTCAATTCAACAGGTGCAAAGTAGGGCCCTAGAATGTGAATTTTATTAAGCAACCCAGAAGATTCTGATGCAGGTGATCTGAAGCCCATACACTAAGAAACCGACCGTTGGGCACCAGCTAGGCTAAGAAAAAAAAAAGGTTTCATCTGGTGTCAGCATATTGCCCATAATTCACTCATCTATTTGTTCATTCATTTATTTAACAGGTACATATTAAATGTTTAGCATATGCCCCACTCCCTGGGAGGCACAAAGGAAAATAAGACATGCCTTTAAGATGTTTACAACCTAACAGGAAAGAAAGAGAGCAGGATATCAGCTCTCCCAGCAGTGTGGAAGGAAAAGCACAGGTGCTCTGGGAGCACACAGGAGTGTGTCTCACTCAGACTGAGATGGAAGAGGCGGCAGCGGTGACACCAGAGAAACGGTTCCTGAGGAGGTGACTCCAAGTCTGGAGTTAGGAGTTACAAAGATAAAAAAACAGGGGAGGAGCATTCCAAGGCACAAAGTATTGAACCAGCCGGAAATTTTGGAAATTATAGGTAGTTCTGTATAATTAAAAAGTCAGAGGGGTGTGTATGTGTGTGTGTGCACGTGCACACATGTGTATGTGTATGCATATGTGTACACGCATCAGGTGTGCATGTGTGTGTGCATGTGTGTATGCACACATGTATGTGTGTGCATGTGGTTGCACATGTGTGTCTGTGCATGCATGTGTGTGTGTTTATGCGCATGTGTAAGGATAAGGGAAGTTAGTCCAGGGAAACTACAAGGCCAGCTCTGGAATGGCCTTGCATATGAAGAATGCTAACCAGCGTCTCAGAAATATTAAGTAGGAATGACATGTGTTGTTTTCATTTCAGAAAGTCATGGAGATTCAGAAAGACAGGAAGTTACTGCATATAAAGGTTAACACCCACCCTCACCTTCTACAAACAGCCTCAGCTAAAGATACCTGGGAGGAGCTTGTAGAAGATGCCACTCTCTGCAATCCAGAGGAAAATGTCTTTCCCTTTGAGCGGATCATTTCTACCAAGGTCAAACTCATATTTTACATTGAGTTTGTATGAAAAAAAAATCAGATGTTTAATTTTTCATGTAATCAAAGAACAATAACAAAAGCAAACCTTCACTTGAGGACTGACTCTGGACTGGTTCTGGAAGCTGTACAAGGGACATCCCCAGCCACGTGGTAACTGGCATGAGCCCACAATTAATATGCATTAAATCAGTCACTCCTCAAGTCAAACAGAGCTGTTTGCAGAGAAATGCGTTTGTAGTCCTGGGAATCATTAATCAATGATGCAGAGGTGGCACAGAATAGTTGAATAATTACCATCCCAGGTATCACTAGAGGCAACCAGAACTCCAACGTTCACACAAAGAAATGAGTTAAGCTGCTGCCACCCTAGCCCCGGCACCACCAGCATCCCCCAGGGCCAGGATGATGCCTGCAGCTCCAGAGGCTTCTGCCAGAGGCATGCCACCCAGATGCCTGAAAAGCAGTCATGCCCTGGAAAGTCTCCTGTGCCATGTGTCCAGCAAAGGCCATATGATCAAGCATTTCTGAGACGGTAGGGGAGGAGGAGTGGGGACTCTGTTGTAGGAGCATGCACACAGTCCTGCCATGCCCCTATCGTGGGCATGTTTCGCTTAGAAATTTAGAAAAAGTACAAGGCCCACAAAGTCTCACAATGACATCTGAATTACGGGAAGTCCCAGCTTACAACCAACACTTGCTAAAAAATGCCTCAACATAGGCTAATTGTACCAGCCTGGGGAATGTAGAGAGTAACACACACACACACACACACCCCTTGCACAAACTTTCTATTTGCCTGAACATGTTCACGGGTCAACAATCAATGCACCCATCCTCCTTTCCTTGGCCTCAAGTTCCTGTCCTTGACACAAAACCATAGTGGTCCAGGGATAAGGCCACAGTGGACCAGGGGCCCTCCAGGCACATGCAGGAGGGCAGGTAGGCACCTGCTTGGCATGTTGCATCCCAGGCAGAGATGCCATGTTGGTGAGAGACCTGAAGGCCTCCTTGCACCAGCTTTAACTGGAACAGTTATAGAGAAAGAACATGGGGCCAGGAGCCACAACTCCAAGCCCAATAACAGCCGGCTGCTGAGGGACAGGGTGCTGGAAAGGTTATGTAACTTGTCCAACACAGTGAGCTGGGAGGCAGTAGAGAGGGAACGAAAACACATGAACTGAGAATAAGAGAGATCTGAGGTCAAATCCTAGCAATTCCAGTGAGTAGCCACCCTGGGCTCTGTTTTTGCCATCTTTGCAATGGAAATAACAAAGCCTCCTGATACAGTCTGGATGTTTTGTTCCAAATCTCATGTGGCCTTAAGTGTTGGAAGTGTGGGCTAGAGGGAGCTGTTTGAATGATGGGGGCAGATCCCTTGTAAATGTCTTGGTGCTGTCCTTGCTGTAATGAATGAGTTCTCCGAGAGTTCAGCTGAGATCTGGTTATTTGAAAGAGCCTGGCCCCTCCTCCCTCTCTCTCTTGCTGCCTCTCTCACTATGTGATGCGCTGGCTCCCATTCACCTTCCACCATGACTGGAAGCTTCCTGAGGCCTCACCAAAAGCAGATGTCAGCACCACGTTTTGTGTACACCCTGCGGACTGTGAGCCAACTAAACCTCTTTTCATTATAAATTACCCCATCTCAGGAATTCCTTTATAGCAACTCAAATGGACTAACACACCTGCCTCACAGGACCATGGTGAGGCTGAATGAGACAGTGCATGAAGATCACACAAGGCAAGGGCTTCTGACATCTAGCTGTTGACATTTTGCTAATAATAATATTAATAGCAACAAACAAATAGCAGAATGAGGTTCTCAAACCAGCCTATGCACTTTGCCCTGTGCCAAGCTGCCCTCCTGGGCACAAATGACTGGCTGCTCCCTCCATGGTGGTGGTGTTGTGGCAGCCTGCTCCAGTCCAGTCAAGACCCTCCCCACCCCAGAGCAGGCTCCCCCAAGACCCAGGTTCCCCCAGGGCATGCCCTCCCTCAAGCTGGGTCCTAAGGCATGTGAGCAGACCCAGGCCTGGCTGCAGGTTGGCTCCCCTGGAGGACCTCCTGATTCCTGCTGCCCTGTCAGGCTGAGCTCACCTGGTCTGCAGATTGTTCCCAAGCACTCACCCTATGTATCAGGGAAGGAAGGGACGAGGAGGAAGCTAAGTCTCTCCTTGCCTTCAGAGAAACCATAGGAAGGCTCAGAAATCATCAGTCAGGCAATAAGAGGGGGCTGGGGTAGGCCCAGGGGATGGATCCACCAGCTATGCTCTGGGGTGGGAGTATGCTGGGGATGGGCGCACCAGGACAGGTTCACCCAGGAGGCCGCCAGGCTGGGAGACAAGAGTGAATGGGCATGGGACTGTGTGGACCTGGCTGGTGGAGGTGTGAGGGGGAGGAGAAGTGCCAGGCCACAGAGAGGCCCCATATGTCCCACCAGCCAGCCAGGACCCCACTCCACAGAGCTCTCCAGTCTAGAGCAGAAGGGTGCTCCTCTGGTTCGAGGATTTTTCTGATTCATGTGAATTCCTGGGGCCTGCTTTCTTATGTTCTTCCCTGCCTGGTGCTTTCAGTTTAGGGACCTCCTTGATTTCACCACACATCAGTCCAGGCCTCAACCCAGCAACTTCCCTCTTTTTCCCAAAACCTTGTGTTTGGTTTGAGTGTTGGCACTCTGCAGGAACCCCATTCCAGCTGGTCAGGCCTCTCATGGGCTCCACTGTGACCCTCTGTCTCATCCTCCACCATCTCGGCAGGACAACCAGACCCATGGAGACCCCCAGAGTTTCCCATCTATCCAAGCACTCCCCACAGCATTTCCCCAAGACACACAGTTCCTTGCCTCACAGGAGCCTCAGTCTTAACAGGATCCTTCATCCTTCCCTTGACACGGCCCTTGGGCCATGCCATAGGTACCAGGGTTCTTCCAACGCCCCTTCTTACTTCTGGGAGAGTGAGAACAAATCCTATGGGGCTATGAAAGGAACAGCAACAGCCAGAGCAGTAACAGCAGATGCCAGAGACTGAGAGCTGCCTCCTCACAGGGCACAGTCTCAGACAGAGACACAGCCCCATGTCAATCTTTGCCACAAACCAGTGAGACCAGGAGTAGAACCCCATTCTAAAGATAACAGAAAGGAGGCTGGGGAATGGTTCTCTTACTTACCTGGTCACTAGGCCTGTAAGTGGAGGCAAGAGAATTAGAATTGGGCAGGGTTTTTACCCCACCCCTGCCTGTAGCCTCCACCCTCCCCTCACCAGGGACCCTGCCCTGCCCCCACCTCCCCGGGCCTGCATCTCCAGAAGCAGGCGTGCCTGGTGGTTTGGCTTCACTGACCCTGGGGAAACTGAGCTTGGGAGCCAGCCTTTCCCACAATTCCCCATGAAGCCAGAGGCAGCAAGCATAGCCCCATAAAATGCATAGAGACATCTCAGGCAAGGACGGATGCCTAGATAATGGCAAGGGTCACTCTGCCCAGTCCTCTGGGCCAGGAGCCGAACCTCACACAGGGTCCCTCCCTTCTGAATGTACTGGCCACCGGGTGCCAAGTGGAAGCAGGACAGCTCCTGCTCTTTCCCCTCCCGACCGCCCACCGGGTTCCACATGCTCCTGTCTGCACATCCTGCGGATCCCCACTGGCACAGCAAACAGTGTGTGGCATTTCTGACAGCTTCCCGCTGAGCCACGGGAAGGCCAAGGAAGACTGAAACTTAAACAAAAGGCAGGGAGGGGCAGATGGGAGAGGATCCCCTTCCTGGTTCTGTCCTGCTTCAGAGGCTGGAAAGTCAGTCACCTGGGGGCTTCAGACTCTTGCCGCTCCCCCAGCAAGATCCCTGAGGAAAATGTCACCTGGTGGACAGTCAACAAAAACAAGACTCTCAGAGACAGGACAAGTGTCAAAGGCACCTGCAGGCTGCAAGAGGCGGGGCTGGGACTCACTCGGGTCCCTGACCATAAACTTCAGCCTAGCCAGGGTGAAAACTCCCAGGCCAGCCTTGGATGCCTGAGGGAGTCAGGCCACCTACAAAGGCTCTCCTAGGAGGCCAAGGACCTGCCCTGGGGGGCAGCAGCCTGAGTGGTGCTCATATTCCAGAGAAGCCCCCAGGAGGCTGTCCCATCCAACACCCACACTGCTCTGAAGGGACTTTGCAGATAAAATCAAGGTTACGAATCAGCTGACCTTAAAACAGGGATGTGACCCTGGATTATGTGTGAGTTAGTGCCATCCCCTGCGCCCTAGGCAGCAGCAGAGTTGGTCAGAGAGGTGGTGTTGGGGGAGCGGGAGGCAGAGGGGGCAAGAAGGATATGAAGGGTGAGAAGGGTACCACCCACTGCAGGAAATGAAAGGAGGAAGGGCCACAGGGTAAGGGAGGTGGGCACCCCAAGAAACAGATGAACCCTGGCAGCCAGCAGGCAGGGAACAGGAGCTCAGACCTACAGAAGCAGGAACGTGGATTCTGCCAGCACTGGAACGAGCTTGGAAAGGATGCCTTCTCAGAGGCTCTGGAAAGACATGAGGCCCCACAAATGCCTTGGCTGCAGCCATCTGAGGCTCTAGCAGAGAATCTGCTGAGCCCCACTGTGCCAAGACTTTCGAGATAATAAATGTGCATTGCGTTAAAATCACTATGTTTGTGGTAATTTCTTCTGGCAGAGATAGAAAGCGAATATAAAGCACTGCCATTGTTCTCCTATTAAAGCAATGAAAAGAACCAATATGGAGACACCACATAATCAGGAAAGCAGGCAGGTGTAGCTGGAGCATGATATCTGTTTACTATGGATCCTTTCTGACACAGTTCTCAGACTTGCCACCATAGACAACGTAGGGTGCCCAGCAGTAGCCCTGGCCTCTGCCCACTAGACACCAGGAGCATCCTCTCGCCCTGGCCATGGCAATTAAAAATGTCTCCAGACATTGGCAAGGGTTCCTTGTGGGGTAGAGTTGCCCCCAGTTGAGAACGGCTGCTCCTTTAAGGGCATAAAGCAAAGAAAAGTTTTTAAGGAAAGAAAGCATTGACGTCTTAGCTGTTTTTTCAATGGACAAGGTATTTACTAAATATCCACTTACCTATATGAGCATATTAATATATTGATATATCCCAACTGTTATGATCTGCCGTTAGTCCTCAGCAACTGGATATTATGAATATACACTTATGCATACATGTGTTATATATTTTAATATCCATTTATCAAAATTTCACATAGTAGATATATGATACTTCCATTATCAAAATAAAATGCACATGAATTTAGCACGTCATTCATCAGTGTTGACTGACTGGCTGCTTCAGGCATGCCTGTGGTTAGACAACAGGGTTTCCTCCTGTATGGAGGATCCATAGTGACAGAGGTGGACAGGTGAAGCGCTGAGGTCACTCTGCGTGCCAGCAGCAAGGCAGGAGGTGATGCAGGGGGCGACACAGACAGTAACAAGCTAGTTCTCCAGCCAGTTCTCCAGGTCTCAGAGCAGGGAGCAGTCAAGATCAGCTTCAGAGAGTCAGTTGCAGGGGTCAAGTGGGCAGGGCACTGCAGGTAGGCAAACCTGCATGAGGAGGCATGATGGCTAGGTGTGTTGGAGCACATGATGGAAATGTGCTCTGTGTCTGGAAGCTTTGGTTATGCAGGTATAAGGACAGCATTGTTACAGGACTACATTGCTTGAACTGTGACCCAAATCTGAAAACAGCAAAGCAATTTGCTGAAAGTTCTGCAGCAAGTTCATAAGCAATTCATTTGCTTATGCCCCTCCCAGGTTCTCTGAGCCTAGGACCTATTCCTGGAGGTCCAGGCTCTCCCTCAGTCCCTGGGTCTTGGTTCAGATCCACTCCCATTCACCCTGGGGCCAGACTAGCCTCCAGCTCTCGTGCATTTATCTCTGTGTGTCCCCTGTGGCGCACCAGTCCCAGCCTGCCTGCTCCTCTGTGGGTATCTCCTTCACTTATATCCCTATGGAAAAGCCCGATTCACCCAGAGACCCTGAGATCCACCAAGCCTTCAACCACCCAACCCTCAGAAAGGGAAAACAACTCACCTTTGATGAGCACCTCTCTTATGCCCAGCTCTGAAGTAGTCCCTGTACTTCCATTGGCCCATTTAAGCCTGAGCAGAATGTTATCAGATGGTGGCCAGAACTCCACATTAAAGATGAGAAAACTGAGGCTGACAACGGTTAGGTGACATGCGGTTTAATATGTGGCCAAGTTGGGACTAGAACTGAGGTCGGTTCTACTCTAAGACATGTGCTTCATCTTCCATTGCATTCTTAGACTTGGGGAAGAGGGGTCCTTCTCTGGGACCTCCCCAGCCAGGCCAAGAGGACACACACACGAAGAGTGGGGCTCCGCCAACCCAGCTCCAGGCACCCAGGACCCCGGGTTTCCCTGCCACCTGGTCCCCAGCCTGCCTCCTGGGCCTGTACACTTCATCCCCAGAGCCACCCTTTTGAAGGCTAATGGTGCCACAAGTGTGCTTACCCCTAGGCTTGAGTGGTGGCCAAGGTGAGGCCGAGGCATAGGGACAGTGCGGATATATGGGTTGGGGTGTCCAAACACATGCACCCAAGACCCCTCAAGGTGTGGGACCTCTCAGGGTGGTCAGGCCACAAACAGGGGGCCAAGATGCTGAACTGCCAGAAGATCAAGAATTCTCAACTTGAAACTTGCCTTTCAGGTTGTTATGAAGGTCAAAGTAGGAAGTTAGAGTATTTTTCACTTAACAGTTTGTGGTACACCTATTAAATATTTTGATGCAGGATGTATAGACTTCCCTTTGCACTCTTTCTCTGGGCCAACAAATTTAGGAATCTATCCCTTTTTTCACTGATTATTGTGTTGAAAGTTTTCATAGCAAATGGAGATCTCATTCCCCATGTAAGTGGCGAAAGCTTGGTTTTCTCCTGTCTGACAATCTTAACAACTAACTTAAAAATCTTAAAGGCTATTGCAATGGGGTATATTACCTTTTCTTTATCAAGAAGCTCTTGTAAAATAACTTGTCTTTCCCGACACAGTTCCAAGAAGTCTTCTGAGTGCAGACTTTCGTGTAAGGCTGGGAAGAAGGTCAGCTGGGTGCAGTCCACCCCCACCTCGTCCGGCTCGCCCTCAGCCTCCCTCAGTGTCAGTTCATCTGCAGCAGCATAAAGGGACACGTGGTGTTGACAGGAGCCACCTGACATGGTAAGGGCCGGTGCACAGCATGTGCCTACATCACCAAGGAGCAGCAAGGCTCCAGGGCCGAAGTGAAGAGCGTGGATCTCTCACTGTGCCCCTCCACTGCTTCTGGAAATGGACACCACACATCTGGGGCACCCTGGGGTGTGGTCAAAATACCTTCCAGTTGACTTATCCTGGAGGGCCCAGATATGCCCAGGCCTAGCTGTTCAGCCACTTCCAGTGACCACAGGGCAACATTTCCAAATTCACCCTCGTTAGTCAGTAAAGCAACTCCTCAGAGGCCCAGCTAGGATTTGCTTTCTCTGAATTTCACTTCATTCACTCTTTGAATATTGCTGTTTTTTCTCATGATAGAAACAATATCCTTTTATTGTAAAAAAAACTTGGAAAAGATATGAAGTTGTGAGAAATAAAACAAATCTCACCCATGCACCCAGAGATAGTGCTAATAATAACAGGTCCCATTTAGTAAGCCCTTTCTCTGTGCCAGATACTTCTGATGACATTTTAAAATGTTGTCCCATCTTGGTTGGAGATACTATTTCATCCTCACTTGACAAATGGAAAAGCTGAAACAGGCTAATTACTTTGTACAAGATCATATGGCTTCTAAGAACTAGAGGTAGAATCTGAATAAAGTCTCTCTGGGATAAGGGTCTGGTTTTTTCATCTCTAGTCTGTTTGGCTCCACTGTTTACAATTTGGTCCATTTACTTTCATTATCTTTTCTGTACTGGATGATTGAAAGTGTCTGCTGCTCACGCAAACCCTCATAGCTTTCCCCCATGCAGGGAGAGGTGTGTAGGAGAGGCATGGTGGAGAACCACAGGACCTTTTTTCTCCTTTGGCTGAGCTCCCTACTCAGGGTGCATACTGGAAATACCATGAAGGCCCAGGGTCACAGACACCCAGGGGCTCTGCATGTCAAGAATGAGAGGACACAGCAGCCCATGGCCATCATCCACAAAAAGATCAGTTCATGCTTTCCACCACTGCACTCTCTGCAACTCCCACCTCTGGAGCTGGAGCAGGCAGGCAATCATTCCATGTGAGAGTTGTAGGGCTTGGGGTGGAGAGACGAGAGGCAAACAGGTATCACAATATCATCCTATCCTCTGTGCCACAATAAGACCCCAAATCACCTGGGGATCAGAGCCCAAGATCCTCACTTCTGGGCTTGTATTACTGCAGACAGGCAAGGTAGCAAGCTCAATACAAATCCATTAGTCAGGAAATGAGAAAAGTTTGATCAGCAGTAACAAGTAGTCATTGGCCAGGTGTGCTGGCTCATGGCTATAATCCTAGCACTCTGGGAGGCCAAGGCAGGTGGATCACTTGAGCTTAGGAGTTGGAGACCAGCCTGGGCAATGTGGCAAAACCCCATCTCTACAAAAATTACAAACATTATCTGGGCATTGTGATGTGTACCTGTAGTCCCAGCTACTCTGGAGGCTGAGGCAGGAGGATTGTGTGAGCCCAGGAGGTGGAGGCTGCAGTGAGTTGTGATTATGCCACTGCACCCCAGCCTAGGTGACAGCACAAGACCCTGTCTCAAAAATTGTTTGGGAATACTTTTAAGATCTCCCTGATATAGCAAATTGACAAGACTGTTTCTCCCCAAAAATTGTTATTGTTGCAACCTTAATAGAAAATGTTTTCCCTAACAAGTGTCTAGGGCTGAAATCGACTTGTCTTCTCTCTGGAAGTGCAGTAACAATAAGTCCCAGGGCTGGCTACAATAGCATTTTCCTCTTCTAAAATATTAATTTAATATCTTTAATAAAATATTAAATAAAACCAATAATTAGCTTAACTATTAAAGGAAAAAATAGATAAACTGAATACCTTGGTTTTCAGCATTTGTTTGAGAAATATGATCATTTTTGTCTTGGCTTTCCTGAAATAAGGACATTGAAAAGAAAAATTAAATCCTGGATGCTACATCTATGCTTCACTCACCTCCAATTCCACAGATTCACAAACACGCACATGCATGTGACCCCTTCAAATTATGCAAGACTCAGATGCAAAGGGAGAGAAACACTAAATCCTAAAGGACCACAATAAAATGCAAGTATGAATGTTCCTGAGTCAAAGGGGAAAAAACCCACAATCTTCCATTAAGTAGGACTTACGGTAATTACCAAAGAAGAGGCCCAGATGGGATTAGATAGCATCCTCAATGTCTCTGTGTAGGACACCCTGGAGAGGGGACCAGGGGAGGTTCCAGGGCTGGACAGCCCCAGAGACCAGAGACCAGGTTTCATAGCCAGCCCTTGGCTTTGTCACCAGCACAGTGAGCAGGCTACTTATTTTTTTTATTTTTTATTTTTTTTTGCTTCCTATTCCTAAAAAATGTAGTGAGGGAAAATACTACACACCACCAAATGTTTATTGACAATACTTAGAAAATTTAAGTATCTACTGAATAAATGAAATCTAATTTTTTCATTAGATTTTACAAAGGATTTTTAGCATGAGTAAAAGATGCTGAGGTTACAGACGAGAGAATAAACTCAACATTGTTACTTGTGATGAATGCAGAAGAAAAAAATCCAGCATTCTGGTGTTTGGAAGGCCGCCTTTGAGGATATTTTAAATTATGATCATTCAATAAAGACATGAAAAACTATTAACAGATTTCCTATATCTACTACCAAATGAATCCAACTGGCTTCTTTTCTTTTAAAAGGCAAAATAAGAGTTTGCGACACAGTTCAAGCTTCATTAGAGCAAACTCCCAGGGACTACCCAGATTCTGTTGCTTGGGAAGTCAATGTTGTTTGGAATGAGTGGATCACTGGCTCAAAATTGCAGAAACAGTCAAGTTCATGAGATTTTCATCGTAAAATTTGTTATGGGATTTGCAGTAATGCTTATAGCAGTATGGGTTACAACTGCCCAATAACAAGTAACTTGTGCGAGCAGACAATAGCCTTCCCCTGGCCCTTTCCAAGCACTTGCATCCAGATGATTCCACAGGACTTGTGTGGACTGCAGCACAGGGCTGTGCCTGCAGCATAGGTAAGAACCACTCACCACTCAACACTCAATATTTATTCATTCATGCAGGCTGTAGTTACAGTGTCCCTGCTATGTACCTAGGAGGGTTAGTGATGCTTTTCTCCTCTTAAATGGCATTGAGAATAAATTTTGGGACTCTCCTACATTTAACTGCATGTGTTATCTTAGCCTGATATAAACAACATGTGATGGGGAAGCTCAGGAGCTGCTTTCCTATCAGGCCCTACCTGGAACCAGCACTGTCCCACTGCGCCTGACTCCTACCTTGTGCCTTCCTGAGCTCAGGGCCTCCAAAGGAGACAAGCGTTTGATGCGTTTCCTCATTCGAGCTGGTCCTTCTCTCCAGTCGAGTTCCCATGGGGAACAGGGCTTGGTTTCTTCCCCCTGGCTCCACAAGCCCAGCTCCCCAAAAAGCTGCTCCTGGATCCTGGCCCAGGCGTTGGCTGCCTTGATGTTGCCACATTTTCGCCTCTGGGGAGCAGAAACAGAGTCACCCTGGATACATTTGCCTTATGGGCCTTATGGGCCTGGCCCCAAACCTCCTGGGGTGAATAAGCCAAGTCTCCCATGAATGTTTGAGAAAGATACCTTCTCTCTACACCCTCAGAATGTGTAGGGTACCCACTGCAGCCAGGACTATAAGGAAACAGTTGCTCAGCTTTAAGATATCTTAATCCAAGTTAGGGGAGGAGAAAGTTGTCTGCCCTTTGGCCTTCAGAGCCATGAGGCTACTGGTGATGGACAGAAAGCAACAGGTCTGGAAGGTCCTGTAGCAGCTCATCAGCATGGACTGGACAGCTATTTTACCAAATGGACATGAATCTCACCACAATCCCACCCTTCAAAAGTGAAGCTGAATGTACTTTTTTCCAGTTGCCTGAACTAGAGTGGAGTGGGAATTTGAATGTACTTTTTTCCAGTTGCCTGAACTGGAGTGGAGTGGGAATTAGAAGCCCTCAAGACAACTGATTGATTTGAGCAAGTGACTCCCATCTCTGGATCTCAGAATCTCCAACGAAATGACAGACCTGGCCTGAATGATGTCTAAGGGCCTTTCAATCCTAATGTCATAGATTCCAGAATGTTCAGAGATTCTAGAATATTCACAGGAGCTAAAACCTTTCATAGTAATGCAAAGAATCTCATTTAATAGCTATAAGATCCTCACAGTTTGCATCTGTGGTCTCTGACTGCCACATCTGCTACTACAGTATGACTCAAACTTTTCTAATAATACATAGATACCCCCAACCTGCATTTATAGACCACATTAAAGTTACATGCATCACCTGTCAAAGAAGCAGTTCAGTTCAGTTTGCACAGTAGAGTCAACTTTGCAGGATACACTTTTGCAATTATTCAAATATTTTATGGAATTTGTCCCACATTTAATGTTTTCAGAAAATGAAAAGGTGAAGTGCTAATGACAAGAAGCATAACAACATGAACAGAAAAGACACTCATTATCATGTGTTAGGCTGAGCCCTGCACCTGCTTTATCTCATTTCCTCTACCCAGTGGTACCACAAGTATTTTCGATCATCCCCATGATGATGCTAAGTCTGCAAAGGAGAAGTGCCTTCTCCAAAGCCAACAGGTGGCCAAACAGAGATTTAAACCTGGTCTGTTGGATTCCAAAGACTTCCTTGAGCATGGGAGCTAGATTACTTTGCTGAGGGGCTATTATTTTATGAGTGCATGATATCTGCTAGCATTTCAAAAAACTGGAAGACTTATAGATGTAGGCCTTGCAAATCTTGGCCATTTTAAATGAGTAAATTGTTCTCATAACTTGCCAGAGGCATTCCCATGAAAGCATGGCTTTGGGGTGGGGGATAGTGCCCAGCAGGTGGTTTCTGGCATTTGATGGACCTGATCATCCATCATGTTTCTGTGAATCACCAGCAGTTCAATCTGGAGGATCTTCAACTTCCTCATCAGTCAAATGTGGTTAATAATAGTACCATAATAATAATCACGGGCTTCTAGAATGATTAAATGGGACAATATTTTCAAGAGCTTAATATGGTACCTTACTCAGCTTAAGTAATCAGTGTTATCACTGTGAATGAAGCTAATCCTATTTCAAAACAAGATCATTTTGTTTCTCTACAGTTCTTAAATTCATATCCCAAACAGTGCTAGCATTTTATGTAGTACTCCAATTGGTTAATAAGAAACTCCAAGATGTACATTGTATTGCATGCCTCTAATCCCAGAGCTTTCAGAGGCCAAGGTGGGAGAATTTCTTGAGGCCAGAAGTTAAAGACCAGCCTGGGCAACATAGCAAGACCCAGTCTCTACAAAAAAATTAAAGAAATAACTGGGCATGTTAGTGCATGACTGTACTCTCAGCTATTTGGGAGGCTGAGGCAGGAGGATCTCTTGAGCCCAGGAGTTCAAGGCTTCTGTGGGCTATGATTTACATGACTGTACTTCAGCCTGGGCAACAAAATAAGACCCTCCTTGTCTCAGAAAAAAAAAAAAAGGGGGGGGCCACCAGAAAAATAATGACTATCCAACTGACTATCCAAAGCTTTTTACAGAGACTTGGTCACATAGAATGAACACTCGTTTGGCAGAAATATTTCAGTTCCCTGGAGATTGTAGTGACATTTGTACTTTTGCATTTGTAGTAACATACGGAGCTTCATGGAGGATGAATAATCTCAAGCTATTGGGTTGTCCAGCCTTAGCTTCAAATTAGTTTTTTAAGAACACATATCCGGCCAGGCACAGTGGCTCATGCCTGTAATCCCAGCACTTTGGGAGGCTGAGGCAGGCGGATCACGAGGTCAGGAGATCGAGACCATCCTGGCTAACACGGTGAAACCCCGTCTCTTCTAAAAAATACAAAAAAATTAGCTAGGCGTGGTGGCAGGTGCCTGTAGTCCCAGCTACTCTGGAGGCTGAGGCAGGAGAATGGTGTGAACCGGGAAGGCGGAACTTGCAGTGAGCCGAGATAGCGCCACTGCACTCCAGCCTGGGGGAAGGAGCGAGCCTCCATCAAAAAAAAAAAAGAACGCATATCCACCCCAAGTCTCCACCTATGCAACCTGGGGATGCACAGCTCCCTGGGTCTTCATCACAGAGCACACATGTTGCCTTGAATATCTGTAGTCAGACAATGGTGTGATCCCTGAGAGAGATGTGATTATTTAGTCCATGATAGCAAGTTACAGGTGGCCCAGGGCAGAGGAAGTCAGATGACTAAATAGCAAAAGTCCTGAGTTTCCACACCTGCAAAGGTGCTCTGAAATGCCCATGTTTCTGCACAGTGTAAGGCCCTCTTTCTATTCAAACTGCAAGTGGGCCAAATGCCACACTTAAGGCCCACAGACTCACAGGCAGGGATTCTGTTATGTTGGGGGACAACTACAATTTCTTTCTTTTTTTTTTTTTTTTCAGAGACAAGGTCTTTTTCTCTGTCATACAGGCTAGAAGGCTAGAAAGCAGTGGCATGATCATAGCTCACTGTAACCTGTAACCTCCAACTCCTGGGATGAAGCAATCTTCCCACCCCAGCATCCTGAGTACCTAGAACTAAAGGTGCCACTATACATGGCTAATGTCTTTTTAACTACTTTTTTTTGAGTTGGGGTCTCGCAATGATGCCCAGTCTGGCCTTGAGCTCCTGTCATCAAACAATCCTACTGCCCAACCTCCCAAAGCACTGGGATTAGAGGCATGAGCCACCACACTTGACCAGTTATGATTTTCGAATCACAGCAACCCTTGGGTAGCAACACTTAGATTAACCTTTGGAAACCCAGCCCTTCCCTACTTTCAGTCCCTGCTACTTCAGTGGGGTTGACCAGCCTTCAAAGATGAACACTTCACCCAAGTCTCTATAATCTGAGTTGTTATGAATGGTTATAGGATGGGCCAACAGGCACCACCCCCTAGGGCTGGGAATGGCACCCTCAGGAGCCCACACAGAGGAAGCAGAGCACGGAACTTGATCCAGCGCTGCTTGAATTCTGCGTTTCCCTGCATTCTTCAGTAAAACAAGACATTTTTTTTGTTGCCTAAGGCAGTCTGAGTTGAGTTTCCAATATTTTTAACTGACAGAGCTGTGATAAATACTCGATGAGTAGATAGAGACTGAACAAGAGAAGAAAACTAGAGGCCCTAGAAGAGAGTGGGACAGAAGACAGTGGCCATTTCTGAGTTGTCAGGCATCTCACAAAGAACTCCAACCAGTAAAGACTGTGTAGGCAGGATAAGTCATTTCTGCAAATTATAATGAAGATTCAACATAAGAACTGGATGGCCTAAGTATGTAACAGACAGAGCAAGAGAGGCTGGGCCACAGAGAAGAGAATGAAGATAATGTGGACAAGGCAAAGGGGAATCTGAACAGGGCCAGACTGTAGAGGCAACTTTTTGTCAGAACTTCTGGATCAAAAAAAAAAAAAATTGGCTGATTGACTATTTGAATTGCAATGTTTGCTGTTGATATAATAATGGGATATAATGATGCTTGGGTTAACTTCCAGGGCACTAGGCAATGATGCCTTCTTATGCTGGGGGCTGCTGCCATCTCCAGTCACCTCTCAGTTGTGGGTAAAGTGCCTGGTTAGAAAAGTCCTGCGTGGTGTGTTACTGGCCACCCTGTGGGCAAGGGCCCCTGAATCTCCCCTTCTTAGGAGGGCCTCATTTGGTGCACCTGGGAGAAGCTGTCTCAAAGGACGTGGCAGATTTCTTAAGCCTAATCTCTGTCCAGAGTTTGGACCTGACTTTTCTGGAAGTGGAATGGGCCTTTCTTGGGAAAGCATACTACTCCTTAAAAAAGCAGGGCAAAGGTCCACATCCCATTATCTATGGCAGATGTTATTATATCTTCATTCTTTCAAATATCAAAACAACCTGACTTAAATATTTAAATACTTGGAAAGTATCCTTGTGGATTAGCTTCCAAATGCTGATTTTCTCAAAAATACCTCAATCAACAGGAAAATTGCACAACTTTCTCAAGTCCTTTCTGAACTCCAGTCAGCCCTGCTGCTGAAGATGAGACAGGCTAACCTTTCAGGTGGCTGGATCCCTTCCTTCTGGGCTTGAGGGAGTTGCATCCTTCCCACAAGAACCTATAATCTCACAGATCTCAACAGAATTTCACAAAGTACCCCAGGGCATCTCTCCTGGCCATAACTGTATCTCCCAGGCTCTTCTAACCATTGGAGCAGAAATGGTTGCACTCTAGACGAGATGCAGATTAGGAAGTTTAGATAAACCACATCCTCCATCTCAAAATGGTGTAGTGGTGATGAGGATGTCCACCAATAAAGGATGCAATCCTACAAGATTCATCTTATTTCCCCCTCAGTGGCAATTAAATTTATCAGCCATATTGCTATCCCTGAGTGAAATCTGTCAATCCATGTTGTGAGTCATTAACGTGCAATGGTCTGTCCAATAGGCACAGATGACACACATATAGGCCAGCAAGACACCCTACCCAGCTGTGCAGCACAGTCAGCAATGTTGGAGTGGGGTAGATGCCCACAGAGAAAACCCTTGTCCAACCAAAGGGTCTGTGAAAGACCAGCTTGTGCACTCAGAAAAACTAGACATGCCTGCTGATCCCTCTGACTATCACAGCCATGATCACATCCTGTACACACCAAACCTCGTTTCTCACAAGTGTCCTGTCTGGTAAGCTGCTGCTCCCATCACTCAGGAGAGCCTGGGAGGCTATGTTGCTAAGCTGTGTGTTTCTGGGGTTCAGGCTGCACATCCATGAATGGGTCTTCCCAGGGGCATGTTGTGGGCTTTTAAGGGGGAAACTAGACAAGGCAACTCAGTTTCAGATGATTAGTGCCTCTTCTGTTTCCTGGCACCGGGCACCATGTGTAAGCCTTCCTGCTCTGTGGCCCACCCAGGACACACTAATGGCTCCTTATACCCCATCGCTCCTTTCCCCATAGTAGAACATCCTATCATTGAGCTCATCACCATGTATTGTGGGCAATTCTTTACTCTGGGTTTCATCTACAAGTTTCAAACACCTTCAAGACACAGGAGTATCATAATCTCTGCATTTTTTTATACTTCACACTGTCTTTGGGACAAAGAAATTGCTGGGTAAATAATATATTCAACAGGGTTTTAAGACTGTATGTTGTGTTCTATTTTTAGCAATATGTTAAATTTTTATTAATAACAGTAACACCAAATAAAAATAAACTTCTTAGCTATTCTATAACCACACATGGGTTATCCATTCTCTATCAGCCACAGTCTGGGTGCTTCACACTTGCTTTTAAATCTTCACAGGTAGGAAGACTTATTCCAGCTTAGAGATGAGCACACAGAGGCTCAGACCACTGGCATAGAAAGGGGCAGACTTAGAATTCAAATAAAGCTCTGACTGGCATGAGAGCCAGTGTTCTTTGCCTAGATTGTACAGCAGTCAGGCCTAGATAGGTACTTTAAATATCTAAGCCTGCCCTTGTCAGTGGCAACCCATTGCATTTAGGATAAAATGCAAAACCCCAACATGGTGCAAGCCTGGTGAGCAATCCAGAACGTAAACCAAAGGCCCTTCCAATTATTTTTCAGGTTCAAGGTGGATTCCAGCTTGCTGTATAGAGAAAGCCTATGTTTTGTTTCTTACTTGCACATGGTCTTTGTATAAAGATGCATATAGCTCTTGTCCTCTTCTTCTGTAGTTCTCTATACATGACACAAAATCCTGGAGAAAGGAGAAAACAAGTCACAGCTTAATGATAGTTGTGATTTTATTTTATTTTATTTTATTTTATTTTATTTTATTTTATTTTATTTTTTGAGACACAGTCTCATTCTGTCACCCAGGATGGAGTGCAGTGGCACAATCTTGGCTCACTGCAACCTCTGCCTCACAGGTTCAAGCAATTCTCCTGCCTCAGCCTCCCAAGTAGCTGGGATTTCAGGCGCCCACCACCATGCCTGGCTAATTTTTGTATTTTTAGTAGAGACAGGTTTCACCACATTGGCCAGGCTGGTCTTGAACTTCTGACCTCAGGTGATCCATCTGCCTCAGCCTCCCAAAGTGCTGGGATTACAAGCGTGAGTGATAGTTGTGATTTTAGATAAGAACGTCTCTATACTGACCAATTGACAGAGGAAATAGTGGTTACAGAATTTGTTGGTCAAATGAGATTCATATAAATACAGGCGTCACCTATGCTGACACACTCACATATGAATACATTCACATACGTGTTTATGGGTTGCTTCCATCTCCAACTATGATGAACTAGCTTGCAGTAGCTCAACCTTCCTCCTAAGAATGACTGAAAAGACCTAGATTTGAACAATCTGCTCTAAGACAGCAGAGAGCTACCAAGAGAGCTGAATTTGAGGAGCCAAGATTCTGAAGAGGAATTCACTGAGGTGTGCCCGACATTTATGCTTTTTTCTATTTTTTGGACCTTGAGATACATGCAAATTTTCAAATAGCTCAAAAGGATGAGAAGCTGAGGCCACAAAACAAACTTCAGTAAATTTAAAAGGATAGACATAATACAAAGCATGTCTTTTAATCACAACGGAACAAAATTTGAAATCAATTAGCAGAAAGAAATTTGGCAAACTCAAAAATAAGTGTAGATTTAAAAGCACATTCCTAAATAACTAATGGGTCAAAGAAGAAATCAAAAGGGAACTTTTTGAGATGAATAAAAATAAAGACACAACATACCAAAACACGTAGGCTATAACTAAAGAAGAGCATAAAGGAAAACTCATAGTTATAAATGCCAATATTAAGAAAAAAAAGAAACACGTTAAATCAATATCTGAAACTTCCATCTGAAGACACTGGGGAAAAAAGAGCAAACTAAATCTAAAGCAAGTAGAAGGAAGGGGAAAATAAATATTAATGCAGAAAGTAATGAATTACAGAATATAAAAAACAATAAATAAAATTAATGAAACTAAAATCTGGTACTTTGGAAAGATCGATAAAATTGGCAGTCTTTAGCTAGGTTGACCAAGAAAAAAGAGGAAAGGCTTAAATTATTATACTAGGATCAGAAATGAAGGAGACAATACTACTGACCTTACTGAATTTTTTCAAAAGATTATAAAAAAATACTATAAACAATTGTATGCCAATAAATTAAATAGCTTAGATTAGATGAACAAATTCCTAGAAAGACACAAATTGCCAAAACTGACTCAAGAAGAAATGGACAATTGGAATAGATCAATAACAAGAAAATAAATTGAATTAGTAAAACAACAACAACAACAAAACCTACCCACAAAGAAAAGCCCAGCCCAGGCCCAGATGGCTTCACTGCTGAATCCTAACCACCACTTAGTGAAGAATTCACGGCAGTTTTTCAAAAACTCTTCCAAGAATTAGAAGAGCAAGGGACACTTCCCAACACATTCTATGGGACCAGTTATTACCCTGACACAGAAAACAGACAAAGGCTTTACTAGAGAACTACAGACCAATATCTCATATAAATATTAATGTAGAAATCCCCAACAAAATATCAACAAACTGAATCCACCAACATATAAAAAATTATATACCATGACCAAGTGAGATTTAGCCTAGTAATGCAGAGTTGGCTTAACAACTGAAAATAATTAATGTACTACACCACATAATAGAATAAATAACAGAAACCATGTAATAATTTCAATAGACATTTAAAAAAATTGACAAAAATTTAAAACCCTTTCATGACAAAACAAAAAGTCAACCAACTGGGTGGGGAAAAAGAATTTTCTCAATCTCATAAAGGGTAACTACAAAAAGTCCACAGCCAACATTATACAACATTATACTTGGTGGTGAAGGACTGAATGTTCCTTAACATCAGGAACAAGACAAGGATGTCCACTTTCAACACTTCTAGACAGCAATGTACTGAAGGTTCTAGACAGGACAACCAGACAAGAAAAAGAAATAAAAGGCATCCAAATTGAAAGAGAAGAAAAACACCTCTGTTCACAGATGGCAGGATTCTATATATAGAAAATCCCAAATATTCCACAAAATAACTGCTAGGACCAATAAATGAATTAAGCAAAGTTTCAGTGTACAAGATCAAAACACGTAAATCAGCTGTGTTCCTATCCACCACTAATAAACAATCCAAAAAATAAATTAAGAAAGCGATTCCTCTTATAACATTATCAAAATAATGAAATGCCTAGGAATATATTTAACCAAGATGAAAAACTTGTACACTGAAACCTATAAAATATCACTGGAAGACCTAAATTAATAGAAGATATCCCATATGTATGGTAACAAGTTCTTATATTGTTAAAATGTCAATACTACCTAACATAATCTACAGAATTAACAATCCCTATCAAATTCCAATGATCACTCTTTTTTGCAAAAATTGAAAAGTCAATCTTCAAGATCATATGAAATTACAAGGGACCTCCAAAACCAAAACAATCTTTAACAAAATAAAGAATGTAGAAAGACTTACAGCTCCTGATTTCAAAACTTACTGTAAAGCAATGGCAAACAAGGCAGTGCAGCACTGGCATAAGAATAGATATATACATCAATGGAATAAAATTGAGAGTCCAAAAATAAAACAATTTGTCTATATTCAATTAATTCTTTACAAAGGTGCCAAAACTATACAATGGGGAACGAATAGTCTTTTTAACAAATGGCGATGGAAAACTAAATAGCCATATGCAAAATAATGAAGTTAAACCTTTACTGCATAACATACAAAAATTAACTTAAAATGAAACAAAAACCTGAATAGAAGAGCTAAAACTATAAAACTCTTAGAAGAAAACTTAAAAGTACATCTGCATGATCTCAGATTTGGCATTTGTCCGATTTAGATTTTGGCACCAAAAATAAAAGCAACAGTGAAAAGTGATATGGTTAGGCTTTGTGTGCCCACTCAAATCTCATCTTGAATTGCAATCCCCCAAATCCCCATCATTTCCACGTGTCAAGGGGGAGACCAGGTGGAGGCAACTAAATCATGGTGTGGTTTCCCCCATGCTGTTCTTGTGATAGTGAGTGAGTTCTAACGAGATCTGATGGTTTATAAGGAGCTCTTCCCCACTTCGCTCAACACTTCTCCTTCCCACCACCTTGTGAAGAAGGTGCCTTGGTTCCTCTCCACCTTCTGCCATGATTGTAAGTTTCCTGAGGCCTCCCCAGCCATGCCAAACTGTGAGTCAATTAAACCTCTTTTCTTTATAAATTACCCAGTCTTGGGCAGTTCTTTATAGCAATATGAAAACGGACTAATACAAAAAGGGTAAGTTGGACTTCACCAAAAGTAAAAATTTGTGCTTCGAAAGACACTATTAGAAAGTAAAAAAAGACCCACAGAATGAAAAAAAAATTATAAATTACATGTCTGATAAGGGACTCATATCTAGAATATACAAAAATACTTAGAGATCAATAATAAAAAGAAAAATAATCCAATTTAAAAATGGACACTGGATCCAAAAAGACTGCTCTTCAAGGAAGATATTCAAATGGCTAATAAGCAGGTGAAAAGGTGCTTAGTGTCATTTGTCATCAGAGAAATGCAAACTAAAACTCACAATGAGATCAATGATACAGCCAACCAAGTAGGATGGTTAGAATCAAAACTTTAGATAATAACAAGTTTTATTGAGAGTATGGATAAATAGAAACTCTCATACACTGTTGGTGGGAATGTAAAATGGTGTAGAATTTTGGAAAACATTCTGAAAGTTATTCAAATGATTAAATAAAGTGTTGTCATTGACTCAGCAATTCCATTCTCAGGTATACACCCAAGATAAAAATTGTGTCCAACTGAAACTTATACATGAATGTTTATAGCAATATTATTCATAATAGTCAAAAGTTGGAAACAACCTAAATGTCCACCAACTGATGAACAAATAAACAAAATATGGTCTGTCTATATGATGGCATATTATTTAGTCATAAAAAAGAATGATGTATTGACACATGTTATAACATGCATGAGCCTTAAAAGCAACATCCTAAGTGAAAGAAGCTAATTTCAAAAGCCCAAATATTATATGATTCCATTTATATGAAATGTTTATAGAGAAAGTATATTAGTGATTGCTTAGGACTAGAGGGATGGGGGATAGAAGAGTGATAGCTAGAATATGCAGTATCTTTCTGAGGTTATAAAATGTTATAAAATTGATTACAGTGATGGTGGCACATATCTGGGAATATACTATAAACCAGCAGTTCTCAACTTTTTTGGCAGCAGGGACTGGTTTTGTGGAAGACAATTTTTCCATGAACCAGAGGTGAGGGGTTGGAGGAAGATGGTTTCAGGATGATTCAAGTACATTACATTTATTATGCACTTTATTTCTATTATTATTACATTGTAATATATAATGAAATAATTATACAACTCACAATAATATAGAACAACCTTGAGCTGTTTCTTTGCAACTATATGGTCCCATCTGAGGGTGATGGGAGACAGTAACAGATCATCAGGCATTAGATTCTCATAAGGAGAACACAACCTAGATCCCTGGCATGTGCAGTTCACAATAGGCTTTGTGCTCCTATGAGAGTCTAATGCCACAACTGATCTGACAGGAGGCAGGGCTCAGATACCGGGTCCATGGCCTGGGGGTTGGGGATCCCTGCTATAAACCATTTAATTGTTTACTTTAAATAGGTGAATTGTATGTTATATGAATTACATATAAATAAATCTGTTTAATAAAAAATATTTAGGGAAAAATAAAATCCAGAGTCTCATAACATAGACTCACATCAAGAATCAGGAAAATCTCAAACTGAGTTAAGGAAGACAATCAACAGATGCATACAGTGAGATAACAGAAGTGTTAGAACTATTTGACAAAGATTTTAAAGCAGCCATCATAAAAATGCTTCAACAACTACAAATTTAAAACATTCTGAAACAAATTTTAAAAAATTAGGGAGCCTCTGTTAATAAATAGAACACCTTATCAGATAAATAGAAGATATAAAGAAGAACCCAGTGTAAAACAGCAGAATGCAAGGGACAAAGGGAAGAGTCAGTGAACTGGACAATAGAACAATAGCAAGTAGCTATTCTGAACAACAGTGAGAAAGTAGAATGGAAAAAATGAACAAAGTCTTAGCTACCTATAGGACTATAACAAAAGATTTAATCTTTGTGTCATCAGAATCCCAAAAAGAATGGATAAAGTGGCTGGTGCCTAAAACTTACTAAAAAAAAATGGCTGAAAAAATCCCCCAAATAGCAAAAGATATAAACCTACAGGCTTCAGAAGCTAAGCAAATTCCAAACAAGACAGACCCATAGAAATCCATGTCAAGACACATTATAGTCAGACTTCTGAAAACTAACACAAAGAAAAAAATCCTAAACACAGGAAGAGAGAAACAACACCTTACCTAGAGGGGAAAGTATTTAATTAACAGTGATTTTTTTCATCAGAAGCCATGGAGTCCAAAAGGAAGTGGCACAGTATTTCTCAAGTGCTGAAAATAAAGAACTGTCAACACAGTATCCTATATCCAGCAAAAATATCCCTTTGGATTAAAGGGTAAATTAACACATTCTAAGATAAAGTAAAATTAAGAGAATTTGTCACCACCAAAGCTACCCTATAAGAATAGTTAAAGGAAGCTCTTTAAACAGAAGGTAAATGATAAAAGAAGGAATCTTGAAATACCAGGAAGAAAAAAGGAATATAGTAAGCAACATAAATATGGGTAGATACAGTATACATCCTTTTCCTCTTGAGACTTCTAAATTATTAGTGATGGTTAAAACAAAAATTATAACACTGTCTGATTTTATAACACTGTGTGATTTTAAACGAGTGTAGAGAAAATATTTAAAACTATTACATTATAAATGGAGAGTAATACCTAGAGCAACAACTAAAAAACCTACACAGAGAGATACACTCAAAACACAATAAATAAATGAAAATTTAATTCCAAAAAAATGTTCAAGTAACCCACATTGGTAGCCAACTTCACCCAACAAGACAACACACATTCTTTTCAATTGCTCTCAAAACATACACAAAACATCTTGGGCTATAAAAAAAAATCCAAAAAATTAAAATAAACAAAAACATGCAGAATGTGTCCTCGATACATAATTGAATCAAACTAGAAATTAGTAACAAAAGGATAACAAGAAATCCTCAAACTCTTAGGAACTAACAATAGACTTTAATCTGTGTCAAAAAAGAAGTCTCAAAATAAATTTTTTAAAAAATACATTAAATTTAATGAAATTGAAAATAGAAAATATCAAAATTTGTTTTATGTAGCTAAATCACTATTGAGAGGACAATACGTGGCAAAAATGCATAATTACAAAAGAGTAAAATTATATTATAAACTGAATGTTTGTGTTCCCCCAAATTCATATGTTAAAATCCTAACTCCCAACATAATGGTATTAAGAGGTGGGACATTTGGGAAGTGATTAGGTTTGATGCTGCCATGGGGTAGACCCCCATTATGGTATTAGTGTCCTCATAAGAAAAGGAAAAGACACCAGAGCTTTCTCTCTCCACCATGTGAGGATACAGCAAGAAGGCAGCCTTCAGTAAGCCAGGAGGGGAGCCTTCACCAGGGAGACAATTAGCCGGCACCTAGCTCTCGGACTTCCCAGCCTGTAGAACTGTCAGAAATAAGCCAGCCTGTGGGTAGTAACTTGTAATAGCAGCCTGAGCTGATAAGACAAATTCTCAAATAAATAATCTAAATTCCTACTCAAGGAACTAGAAAAAAGTGAAAAATAAGCAGAAGGAAGGTCATAATAAAGAGCAGAAATCAATGAAATTAAAAACAGAAAAGCAGAAAAATGATTGAAACAAAAACCTGTACTTTGAAGAGATAGAATTTACAAACCTTTAGAAACACTAACATAGATGAAAAAGG
The DNA here is from genome assembly GCF_000001405.40 of Homo sapiens. Classification (NCBI taxonomy): domain Eukaryota; kingdom Metazoa; phylum Chordata; class Mammalia; order Primates; family Hominidae; genus Homo; species Homo sapiens. Next base: position 48,860,076 of record NC_000010.11, on the reverse strand, counting down.
AAATGACACAAACTGCAATTCTCAAAAATGAAACAGGGGCTATTTCTACTGACCTGGCAGGCATAAAAAGTAAGGTAATACCAGGAACTGTACACACATCAATGTGACAATTTAGATGAAATGGATAAATTCTTTGCCAAACACAAACTACCACGACTCATCCAATACGATAGATCATTGGCATAGCCTTATAGCTGCTGTAAAAACTGAATTCCTAATTTTTAAAGTCTCCAAAAATAAATTGCCATATCCACATATTTTTACTTGAAGGTTTTATTAAAAATTTAAAAAGAATTAAAATCAAATTTACAAAATATAATCTAGAAAATAGAGTAGGAGATGATATTTTCCAATTAGTTTTATGAGGCTAACAATAGCCTGATAACAAAACTAGACAAACAGTACGAAAAAAGAGAAAACTATTTGTTCACGAATAGCTGCAAAATTTCTTATATTAACAAACAGAATTCAAGAACACCCCAAAACACTAATATACAATGGCCAAGTGGGATTTATTCCAGGAATGCAAATCTGACAAATATCCAAAAAGTAATCAATCAATCTAACTCACCATTTTAGCAGGTTAAAGAAGAAAATCGCATGGTCATATCAAGTGATACAGGATAACATTCAATAAAATTTAACACCTATTTATGATAAAACTCTCAGCAAACTAGGAATAGGTATAAATGTTTTTAACTTGATAAAGGGCATCTACGAAAACTCTACAGCTAACATCTTATTTAGTGATAAATAATGAATACTTTCGCTTTAAAATTGGAATAAAGTAAAGAGGTCTACTTTCACTGCTTTTATTAAATATAGTGCTAGAAGTTCTATTCAGTGCAATAAGGCAAGAAAAAAAGTAAAAGCCATACAGATTGAAAAGAAATAAATAAAATTGTCCCTATTTGTAGATACCCTGATTCTGTTGAATTCCTAAGGTATTTACAACAAAGCAAAACAAAACAAAATTCAATAAGGTAAATACTCAAGGTATTTACAAAAAAAATGCGGTCACAGGATATAAGATCAACACACACATAATAACTGTATTTCAAAATATTAGCAATGAACACATGGATGCTGAAATAAAAACAATATCATTGTCAATTTCTTGAAAATAATGAAAAACTTAAGTGTAAATCTAATAAAACACATATAGGATGCATATGTTGAAAACTATGAAATGCAGATGAAAGAAATAAAAGATGATCTGAATAAAAGGAAAAACATATCATGTTCATGAATTGGAAGACTCAACCTACAAATATGTCATTTCTTCTCAAATTGCTAAGCATGTTTAATAAAATTCTTATTAAAATACCAGCAAGGCTTTTTCTAGATACAGACGAGTTTCCAAAACTGGTGTCAATTGGAAAAGGGACTAGGAGAGTTAAAACAACTTTGAAAACTAAGAGTAAAATGAGAGGAATCATTCCACCGGATTTCAAGACTTAGTATACTCATAGTTACAGTAATTGAGAATGTGCGGTACTGAGAGAGGAATAGACATATAGATCAGTGGAACAGAAGAGAGAATCCAGAAATAATCCACACATGAATGCCCAACTAATTTTTGACAAAGTTGCAAAAGCTATTCAACAGATAGCTTTTCAGCAAATGGTGTTGGAGCAATTGGATGTCCATTGCCCAAAAAATGAACCTAAGTCTCGTACCTTATACAAAATTTAATTCAAAATGGACCACAGACTTTAATGTAAAACATAAAACTATACATATTTTAGGAAAAAATCTTTCATATCTAGGGATAAGCAAAGAGTTCTTAGATTTTATATTAAGACTGCCATTTGTAAAAAGAAAAATTAATGAACTGGACATCAACATTAAAATTTTGCTCTGCAAAACCATGAGAACAACGCTATGACAATCTACACTCTGAGAGAAAATATTTGTAAGACACATATCCATCAAAGGATTAACATCTAAAATATATGAAGAACTCTTAAAATTCAACAAGTAGGCTGGGCGTGGTGGCTCACATCTGTAATCTCAGCACTTTGGGAGGCTGAGGCAGGTGGATCACCTGAGGTCAAGAGTTCAAGACGAACCTGGCCAATGTGGTGAAACCTTGTCTCTACTGAAAATACAAAACAATTAGCCAGGCATGGTGGCAGGTGCCAGTAATCCCAGCTACTCGGGAGGCTGAGGCAGGAGAATCGCTTGTACCTGGCAGTGGAGGTTGCAGTGAGCCGAGACTGCACCGTTGCACTCCAGCCTGGGCAACAAGAGCAAAACTCCATCAAAAAAAGAAAAAAAAATCAACAAGTAAAAAACAAAAAATATCATCAGAAAATGTACAAAAGATGTGAATAAACATTTTACTAAAGAAGATATAAAGACCTTAGTACACTTTGTTCCACCCAGGTCACCCATCTAGATGGATATAGAGACTTTAATATTAATGCCTTTTAATAATAGACTGGCTAAATAACTTATATTTATATATTGAACATACTAATGATTCTCAAAATGTGGTCAATAAATTTCTAGGGATTCCTGAGACCTTTCCAGAGGCCATGTGAAATTAAAACTACCTTCAAAATACTATGACATTTTTGCCTTTTTTTTCCCGTGTTGAAATTGCATTGAAGGCCCCAAAAAGCAATAGTAAACAAAACTAATGCCTTGGCACAAATCAAGACATTGGCACCAACTGTATAAAAATCATCATGTGTATTCCCCACCACCAAGAGCTTATAGGAGGAAAAAAAAAGCTATTTTCACTTAAGAATATCTTTGATGAAGCAGTACAAATTATTAATTTTATTAAATCTCAACCCTGAATACACTTTTTTTAATAGTTTGTGTGATAAAATGGGAAGTCTGCATAAAGCATTTCTGAATACCAAAAAAAAAATGTGATGGTTGTCTCAAGGAAAAGCATGTGCATAACTGTTAGTTCTGTGAGCCAAACTAGCTGCTTCTCTCAGAGAACATCATTTTTATCTGAACAAATGACTGGCAGACAAAATTACAGTTATTGGCATGAGTATTTGGCAGCTATTTTCTTGAAAGTGAGCAAAGTAAACCTGTCATCTCAAATGAAACAACTGACAGTATTTGCTGCCAAAGATAAAATTTGAGCAAATTTTAGAAAAATCAAGCAAATACTAGAATTTTGGAAAATTTGTATCTGTGTGCCTCTGTGAGCTTGACAGTGTCCCAGTAGCTAAGAGTTTTTCTGGTAAGAGTGGTGTTAACTTCAGCATAATTTTTCTATATTGCATAATAAAATGTGTCAACAATTGGGAGAACTCCATAACTCAGGGAACCAATATTTCCCATATATGCTATCTGTATGTTCTAATGCATGTTACAAAATAATGTATGGCTTAAAATAGTCACTCAAAGTGCAAGATAGATCAACACATTTTAACGTAACAGAGTACAAAAATGTTACTGATAGAGTTCAAGTGTCCTTTAAGAAGTTACTACTTGTTGAGTTTTGGTATAGTATCAAAGAAGAATATAATTTCCTTAAACCACCATGGCACGTGTATACCTATGTAACAAACCTGCACTTACTGCACATGTACACCAGAACTCCAGAACTTAAAGTATAATTAAAAGAAGAAGAAAAAAAGAATCAGAAGAAAACTGAGCCTCACATAGACATGTAGTTGAAAAAGAGAGGAGTATTTTAATAGTCTCTTCAGATAACTGGATATTTTTCTTGAATACTCTTATCAATCTGACAGGTAGTATCTGGTTAGGTAAGTTGAGATGTGGAATCTGAAACAATATCAATCAACTTTTCATATTCTGTTGTATTAAAATATAGTGGCTATCTCGCAAAAAAGACTTTTAAAATACTACTTCCTTTTCTAACTGCATATCTGTGGGAAGTCAGATATTCTTCATCTATTTCAAAACATACTACAACAGATTGAACAAAGAAACAGATATAAGAACTCAGCAATTTTCCACTAAGTCCTACCGATATTAAAAATATTTTCAAAAACATAAAACAATACCACTTTTCTTACATTTTTTGTTTTAAAAATATAGTTACAATAGTCTCTCCTTACCTTCAGGGGACACGTTCCAAGATATTCCAAGAATGCCTGAAACCACAGATAGTACTGAACCCTATATATACTGTTTTTCTATACATACATACCTATGATAAAGTTTAATCTATAAATTAGGCACAGAAAGAGATTAACAACAATAATTAATAATGAATGGAGTAATTATAGTAATATACTGTAACAAAAGTTATAAAACTTATAAGTTATTTCTGAGATTTTTCTACTTAATATTTTTGGACCATGGTTAACCATGGATAACTCAAACTGCAGAAAGCAAAACTGTGAGTAAGAGGGGACTACTGTACTCATTCAAAATGTTATGTTTATACATAATGGGTCTATTATTTCTATTATTATTTTAAAATAAATTAGCACATGCATCATTTTAAAAATTGTTTTAATTTATAATATAGTAACTATGAATAGATAAAATATACATAAGCCAAAGCTCTTTGGAGTCCTTAATGATTTTTAAGAAAGTGAACAGGTCTTGAGACCAAAAAGTTTGAGAACTGTTGCCCTACCACTGTGAAAACAAATGAACCACTACTACAGATAAATCTTACAAACATAATTTGCAGTGAAATAAGCCAGACCAAAGAGTATATACTATGTTATTTCATTTATATAAAATTTAATATATGGAAAACTAATTTATGATATTAGATACTAAAAGAGGGACTACTTTGGGGGAAGAAGGTGATAGAGACTGGAAGGAGGCATGGAGTCAGGGATGCTACTGGGGTATCATTAATGGTGATTACATGTTCACTTTATTAAAATTCTTAAATCTGTATATTTATGATCCACTTTTTCCCTATGTATATTATCCTCCAATAAAATTAAAAAGTGTTTATTGGCAAACACTAAAAAATATAAAAACAATATCATTTTAAAAACCCAGTTACTGTTTTGGAATAAAGGGAATAGGGTGATTTCATTCTTTTTCTTTTCTTTCATTTTTTTTGTTTGCAATTTTTTTCAATATTGCTGTTACATTGTTTATACATATTTAAAAGTAAAACAATCATTATGAGCATTACAAGTGACATAAAATGCTGAAAAATTTGACTAATTCTACATCTAAGGCAAAAGCCCAGACTTTTTTCTATTATGGTACTTTGGAGATATGCAGCACAAATACAGAACTCTTAGGGGACCTTGGATGCAAAGCAGCTGCCTTCAGATAAATGGGGTATCTTGCAGCAGAGGGATAGGCCTTGTCATGATGACACCCATGGGTTAAGTGGGCCCAAAGTAGGGAGGTTCAGTCAGCCCAACTTCAGTGTGATAATAGGAAAAGACCTTCATGTTCTGAGCACTACAGAATAACAGTGTGGGAAGCAGAAAGCGCAGAAATCCAGACACCTTAGTTTTTGGTTCTTAGTAGTCACATTACAGGAGAGATCACTCAATCTTTCTGAAACTTTACTTATCATCTATAAAATGAGGTTACTAGGACCTCTCTTGTCTATTGTGCTGAGATGTTATGAAGCTAGGATGAGACAGTAGAATGAAAATATTTTGTAAACTGCAAGGGATCGCCTAGTGAGACTGTTGGGGTGTAAAATATTGAAGTCATTAATAAGATCAGTTGAAAAAAAAAGACTTAGGGCTGGGTGCAGTGGCTCATGCCTGTAATCCCAGCACTTTGGGAGGCCGAGGTGGGCGGATCGCTGGAGCTCACGAGTTTGAGACCAGCCTGGGCAACAAGGCAAAACCCCATCTCTACAAAAAATACAAAAATTAGCTGGGCATGGTGGTGTACACCTGTAGTCCCAGCTACTCAGGAGACTTAGGTAGGAGGGTGGCTTGAACCCCGGAGGTAGAGTTGCAGTGAGCTGAGATCGCACCACTGTACTCCAGCCTGGGCAATAGAGCCAGACCTTGTCAAAAAAAAAAAAAAATGACTTAGACTGTCTCCTAAAAATTAAAATTAGCACTTAAAGAAAATGCTCTATGAGTTTGGTTATAAACATCTTCATACTTCAAAGAAATACCTTTTCTACAATAGCTGCAGTCCAGAATTGGTTATACTCTGGCTCAGAATCTCCATTCCAGGGTTCAAAGTTACTCCCTGTTGTTAAGTTCTGCAAACATTCATTGATCACTTACTATTTTCCAGGCACTAGATTACGAAGATAAACCCCACACCTGGCTTTGTAGAGCCTAACGAACAGACAGATAGCTATGAGCTAACACAGTCAATGCTGGGGCAGAGATGACACAGTGACACAGGTACAGTGAGAGAGGCTTACAGAAGAGGGGACTGGTATGACCCAGTGTTCAGAAGGTTGAGATGTTGCTTTAGCTGAATCTTTAATGAGAGCTTTCCAACAGAAGCCTGATGTGGTTCCATTTTCTAATTTTAGCATTTTTTGATTTAATATTTTTGATACCTTATACCAACTGTAATTTGGAGAATTGATTTAATGAATGCAAGCCTGGAAGCAAGGCACTCTCTTAGGACAGTGTTATGACAGCCCAGGTGAGAGTTCACATGGTGGACTCAGTATTGTGGAAGAATCCCACTCAAGAACCATCTGGAGAGTAAGTTGGTAGGAATTGTTGATTGCATTAGAGGGCAAGAATTACTGCCAAATTTCTGGTTTGCTTAATTGAATGGATTAAATTAGACAAACTAAGAAAAGTTAAGAGATCACAAAAATAAGAGCAAGTTTGTGTGACATGAAGACATTTTGAATTTGAAGTGTCAGTGGCACAGCGGGATATCTCTAGAAGAAAGCTCAGGAGAGGGGTCCACAGCCATGTGGACTTGTGAGTCATTAGCAACCAGGCGACAGAGACTCCTGAGAGATAATAAGATCCCTCAAGGAGAGTAAGGACAGACAAGGTCAGAAAACTGGAGAATACCAGCAAAATTTAGGCCAGGAGGAGAAGGGTTAGAGCAGCTTGGGGAAAATCATGAAAACCAAGGGTGGTTTAAACATGGTAAATGCATCAGAGAAGCCCGGTGAGATGAGGTCTGAAAATATTCACTGGGTTTGGCTGTAGAAATTGGTCTTCGGTAATTTCTGCAAGAATCATTTCAGACGAGTGATTAAACAACAATGGGTCAATTAGAGATTTGGAGATAAGGACATGAAGACAGAGCATACAGTATATTAGAGGCTGAGGGGAGCTTGGCAGTGGACAAGAGAAGGTCAAAAAGCAAACGAAACAGAAAGGAACTGAGGGTTCAGGTTCTACAGGGGAAGAAAATAAGGATGGGACACACAGCCCATGAAGCGGCTGAGTTGAGTGATGAGGACGGGAGAGGCTGTTCAGGCCAGGAGCTTGTAGGGAGGGCTTGAAGATGGCTGCAGATGGGGATGAGGCTGTAGCTGGTGCACGGAGAGTGAGATGGTTCACACCTCATGGCTTCCGTTTCTAGAGTGGAGTAGGAGGCAAAATGACTGCTTCTCCTGAGAGCTGAGCAGCATCTTGAACAGAGTGGTGAATGCTTGGGAGAATGGAACAGGGAACAGACCCAGAGCACATCAGTGGATTATCTAAGAGTATTGATAACCCAAATATGTATCATCCCTTGGTCTGTTCTCTCAACATTACTTTCAATTAACTAACAGGCACAGGGCACTTTATGACTGACAAAGAAGTTATGCATGTGCACATTTAAAATTTATCCTCCTGACAAATTTATATGATTACTATCATTTTACAGGAGAAGATATCGAGGCCAAGTGAGGATAAGTGACTGTCAATACAGGAAGTGGCAGAGTAGGAAGATCAGTCTTTGGACTCTGTCACTATGGGCGTCTTTCTCTCATGTATTTCCACCCGGTGTATCTCCACCTTCCCACTGGCCTTTGAGCCCTTTGTGCCCTGGAAAGTTGTCATACTCAGGGATGTGGAGACAGGAGGAAGGAGATTTGGGTCAGGTCAAGGGCAGAGGCCCATCTGCCTAGACAGCAGTGAATGTAGCACATCAAGCAGGGACAGATTCAGAGCTGAGTGCTGCATTGCTTATTGGAACTAAATAGCATTTGCTTAGCAACTGCCAGCACATTAAAGAGTTTGAGAACCTTTGGAGTAGAACAAAGGGCCTCTAAGAGCTGTTTGGAGATTTGGGAGGCAAAGCGGGTCTAGGCCCTGCTCTCCCAGTGCCTCCTCAGGGCCTTGGCTGCAGGAGACAAGTCAGAACTTGGAATGGGAAATTGGGCACATCTCCATGGAGGGTCACTTCTAAGTGGGCTCACCAAAGCTTGGTGGTACCCACCTTTGCCTGGGGCACCCTAGGGCTGGCCAGCTGCTGGTGACACTACTGACCAAGCTGTCCCGCAGGAAACACCCGCTAACCACTGATGACAGTCATTACACTTGTTTGTTTAAAGCATCATTAGTCCTGTAATCACAGTTGTGTGGCCTCACAAAAATGAGAAAGGCTGATATCTGAAGGCAGCAGATCAGATCCTGCTCAGCAACTTGATGCCACGATGACAGTTACGGGTCCTGGCCACTTCAGCCACGCACTACATGTCAGGCCTGGGACTAAACTCAGAGGGGAGGGACGCCGAGTCCTCACCTGCACTGTATTGGCCATGAACGGACATGTGATTACCATTTCATCCTTAGACTCACCTTTCTTACTGCCATTAATTTATCCCAAGGAAATCATAAGATATTTGCACAAATAGTGGACATTTTTCACCATCCCTGTTGATAGCAGCACAAAATGAAACAATTTAAGCATCCACATATGGAGGAGGGTCCATCCTGTGATAGAATGCTATGCAGTCAGCACAAATCAAGCTCTCACCAACGGCTGCCCCCAGTCTTGCAGCACCTCGGCATCCTCTTTGGGTGGACACCATCCTGACCCTAGATGGATGACTTGAATAGTGGGGCAAAGTCTGGATTTCAGTCTCCTTTTTCTATTCTGGCCAGATGCCCTTCCATACAACCTACCTAATCATTCACAGCAGCCCTGGTATCAAAAAGGACCTATTGATGGGCACCAGGTTCTTGCTATATCAAGATTTTAAAAGGAGAATAGAAAACAGTATGCTTACAAGAACAAGAATTAAATCTGTGTATATTTGCCTAGGAAAGAAAAACTAACAGAATATACAATGTGCTGGCCATTAGTATTGTTTGTCAAATATTTCCAGGCCTTTATTCCTATAGGTAGTGGCATGATGAAGCTTCCTGCTACTTTTGATCTTGGTGAGGCCAGGGAGAGATGTGCAGAAGCTTGACAGCAGTCTGCTAATCTCTCTTTTTCAGCTCTGTGTGGCAACACTCAATGTTCTAGATAGTGGCTGCACCATGAGCCAGTGTCGCTGAGTGAGAATAAGGTATAGAGAGTCTCGGGCCAACACTCAGGGTACTCATAGCACAAGTGAGAAATAAGCATTTGCAATTTTAGGCCAGTTAGACTTGAGAGTTTTTGTTACTGTAACATAACCTAATACTTTCTGAGTAATACACACACCAAAAATGTTAGAAAGGGTTATAGTGGAATTGTATTAAAACAAAATTGTGAGCAGAAAAAAGGAGATCAAGAGAGTTACAGGGAAAGCGCATATGAGATCAGTTAAATACTATGAGAAAAAAGCTGGAACCATTTGAACAAAAAGATAAGTAACTTAATGGGCTTAATGGATGATAGCCCAAATTACAAAATAAATATGAATGAATCTCTACCGACATAAATAAGATTGAAGAAATAAATACAGAAGAAGAGACAAAACTTCCTTAGAGAAGAATTTTAAATTATATATGTAGATAATCCCCTTCCAGACATTGGAGCTTAATTGCTCACACCCCTTGAGGGTGGTATGGACTTAGTGACTTGATTCCAAAGTATCAAGTGTGGAAAGGCAGAAACAGTAACTTTACCATAGAGGAATCTGACAGACACCACCTTAACTCCATGATAAGGGTTAACATCAGCAGTGATGACATTATATGGACATCGTGTATCCCCTGATATCATGTGGAAAGAAGGGCATATCACTTCTGTGGTTGTCCTTCCAAAGACCCATAACCCAAGGATAATCATGAAAAAAGCATGAGGCAAACCAAATTGAGGGGTATTTTACAAAATATCTGACCATACTCAAAGCTGTCAAAGTCACAAAAAACAAGGAATATCTGAGAAATTGTCACAAACCAGAGAAGACTAAGGAGATAAGATAACTATATGTAATGTGGTACCCTGGATTGAATTCTGGGTTAGCAGATAAATATGATGAAATTAAAATAAAGTCTGATGTTTAGTCAATAGTAATGCAACAATGTCAATTTCTTAGCTTTGACAAATGTTTCATGGTAATAAGATGTTAACAATAGGGAAAACTGGGTGGGGAGGACATGGAAGTAGTGAATGTGAATGTGGAAAGTATCCCAAAATTAAAAATGATTTTCTAAATCACAATGGGAATTCACCCAACCCTCCATCCTAACCCCCACTGTGAACCTGGGATGGAGAATGGGAGTCTCTGCTCCCTGAGGGAGACGCCATTCCACAGGCTCTCTTGGCTGTCAACAGCTCGTTGTATTAAATGTAATTCTCCTGTTTAAAAACAATAATTTTGGGGGTAAGTCTTGTCTGCTGAAATTGCACAAGCCAGTCACTTCATCTGGTACTTAACAAAGAAAGACTGATTGATGTACAAAATGGTGGAAAAGCTGCCTGGTGGATGTGCAGGATGGTGCAGAATTCACCAAACTGGAGATGGTCATGTATTCTATGGATAGTTTGAGGGAATGTTGAGTATTGCTGACAACTTGATTTCCATTTTATAAATAGACTTTAGAACTTAACCCCATATATTATGTGACTCCATAGGCTGTCTTCTTTATTATTTTTTTAAGGTTTCTGTGTATTCATTAACCAAAAAATCCATAAAGGAAAGCAATGGTCATGCTGCTTGATTTTAATGTCAACTCCAGATTCCTTTAGCATCTGATTCTCCCTGACCAAAGACAGATTCCAGTTAAACTCAGGGGATCCCCCATGCATGGAGGGCAGAGTGAAACTGCTGCCAAGGTAGATACCACCCCCAGAGATCCCAAGTTCTCATTGGTCATTCTCACTGGACGCAATGGTAACCCACTTGCCACCTGTCCTGCACCAGAGCTGGCTAAGAGGATGAGGGATTTGGTGACCACAGTCGTAGCAGTGAGGAACAGAGGAGCCACACCTGTGCGAGCACTCTGTGGTTATCGTGTAAACTAATTGTTGTCATGAACATTCTCTTTCCCAGCTCGCCTCCTCGGGGTGCCACAGCAGTAGGTAAGCTCTGCAGGGGCAGCATTCTGTGTCGCCGTGAGGGGCTTCCCCACCAGCCCGCCAAAATCAGCTCCTCAAGGTCATGATTCAGGGCTTCCCAAGTGGAGGCAGTGATCAAACTTTGAGGGACTGAAAAGAACCTCACAGACCTTCCTCACTCACTGGGGCCCAAATCGCCACAGCTGGTCACCCCCTGCCCAGAGTAAAATACCCCAGGGGTCAGGATTAAAGAGACCCAGCATGACCTGCTGACGCCACCTACGAGGAGCAGGGTCAGGGTGGGCAGCTCCTGCTCTTACTCCCACCCCTTGTTTAAGTCCATCTGCAATGCAGTCTTTTACTAGTTGCAAAGGATCCAGTAAACGGGTGACCTAAACACTTCTATTATGTGTCCTCCTCAGAAGGCTGACATATCCACCTTGGAATACAAGTTCTTAGTGGAGGCCTGGTTTTAGTTGAGTGATAGAAGCAATTAATGAGAACACCAGGAGATGAAATGCTGTCCCTGTTTGTTGGTAAATCATGTGTATACTATCCTTATGTGAGCCCAGAAAATGCTGGCTGCCCTTGAGGAAGAAGGCACAGTGTGTACTGAGTGACGGGACAGCCTGGGCTCCACAGCAAGCTATGGTCGGGGCTCAGGGGTCTTTGGGGGACGTGTATTTGGATGACTCAGGCCAGAAAAGGCTCTTTTCTCTGAGTGCCCAGGTAATTGCACTTTTCTCTGCTATGGAGATGCAGCCCCTGGATCCTTAACAAATGTCAAGTAATACCAGAGTAATAATCATATTTCCAGCTATAATGACAAACAACTGGCGCTCCGAGCGGGTGAAGAGGGACCAGACCACCACAGTGCAATTCATCTCTTGTTAAATTCACTCACATATTAATTTCTGAGATGAACGGTGGTTTCTAATTTGTCTTTTTCGAACTGTGATGTTTTTATTAAATTCAATTGTCATGAGTACATGAAGAATGACTACTTAAAAAAAAATCCACACTGGTATAGCAAAAGACAAATCCTTTAAAATTGCAGGCACCATGCCTTCTCAAGGAAGCCATCTTCTCTCCTCTCTGCTTTCCTTTGTGGGTGTCAGGGCCTCTGTGAGCCTTAGACAGGTGGGAGGTGTCGCCACGCTGGCCTTCCCTGAACTCGCCTATTCTCACCCCATCTCTGTCGGCCTCATTCTCACAGGTAATGTTCTTAAAGACTCACACCCCCTCAGGCAGGGCAAGAAGGTTAGGGATTACTGGAGGGGGTTTGGATAAGAGATGAATGTGAAGATCTACCCTGGGGTCAGAGGAGTTTCAGCCCATGCAAACATCTTTCCCTGAATATGTATTGAGACGTGAGGCACTGATATGGACTAAACCATGTTCCCCCCAATTCATATGTTGAAGCCCTAACCCCTAGTACCTCAGAATGTGACAATATTTGGAGACAGGGCCTTTAAAGAGGTGATAAAGTTAAAGTGAAGCCATTAGGATGGGCCCTAATCCTACGTGACTGGTGTGCTTATAACAGGAGATGAGGACACGGTCATGTACAGAGGACAGACCACGTGAGGACATGGGGAAGGCAGCATCTCTGAGCCAGAAAAGAGGCCTCAGGGGAAACCAGCCCCTCCATCACTTTCTTCTCGGACCTCTAGCCTCCGGGACTGCGAGACAATAAATGTCTGTAGTTTATGCCACCCTGGCTGGGGTACTTTGCTATGGCTGTCCCAGGAAACTAATATAGGAACTTTCACTCCAAATAATTCTCCCCTAGCACTGAGGCACCTGGACCCCAAAACTGACAGATTTCAAAGACAGATCACAACCAGGGCTGGAGTCTATGGGGAGATCTCTTCTTCGGGCTTTATGAAGAGCAAAAAGGTCACCCTGGTCAGGACTGCCCCATTGCTGCGACTTCAGAGTAGAGCCGTTGGCAGCACTGGCTGCAAGCTGCACCCACTCCAGGAGCTTCCTGATGCCACCCAACCACATGCCAGCTCTAGGATGCTGCACAGCCACTCTTCCTGATGTTCTTGGAAGCCACGCTGTGACTAGCCAATATGTTAGTCCTACTGTGTGACTCACCACTGGGCTGCCTGAGGGTCATAGGTAAACTGGTCAATACCAACATTTCTCCCTCCTTTAGGCTGGGTCCCCATAGATGCAGCCATTGTGCATAAAAAATAGGTAAGCCTGAAATAGATGAACCTGGCTTCTTCCTAGCAGTCTCTTTTCAGCCAGTGATTCACAGCACCTGCTCTAGTTCAGGCCCTGTGCAAACCCGAAGGCCTTCAAGATGGGCACGGAACAAGGCTTGCCCACCAGGAACTTAAAGTTCTTGTGAGGGAGTAAATGAGAAAATGACTTGCCCACAGAGGAGGCCACACCGGCTCACAGCCAGGCTGGAGAGGGCTTGGTGGGCTTTCAGAAGGGACAGTATCCCTGCAGGCCTCCTCTAAGCAGAGAGGACCACATTTTCCCAAGGGTAGAGACGGGAGAAAATAGCCTGCACTACTACAAAATATGGAAGTGGGCCTGCCTGGAGCAAAGATGCCATGTGGGAATGTGACAGGAAATGAACTTGGATAAGCAGCTGGGGTCAGCTACACAAGGCTTCTTAACTCCATTGGTACAAGTCTGAGTCTGCACAGCTTGGAAACTAATGATGGTTTTTGATCAGAGGCATGACATTGTCAGCTCAGATCTTTAGAAACTCACAGTGGGGGTGACATGATGGCAGGATGGGGCAGAGTCAGCTGTGAGGCAGAGGCCATCTGCTTTGCTCACCCCGTGTCCCTATTCTCCAGCCCTGGACCTGGCTCTTGGCAGAAGCACAGTTGATGGATGAGGAATGGATGCATGTACCCTCTTGCCTACCACTCCACAGTGGCATTCAGGAAGCTGGAGCACAGTGCTGGTATGTGACGGTGAGTCTTTAGAGACTGTATATTCAAGCTCTGAATTTCCTAGGAATTGACTTTCTTCTATGATCATTTTCTTTCCTGATCTCATTTCCTTATTTTATTGCACACATCCTCATCTAGAGGTACCATAAAGCCTCTGGGGAGAGAGTCAGAATATAAATAAATACATAAAATTAAGATGAACTGGATAGGATACTCCAGTAATGCCAAGACAGCACCTGGCCCACAAGGCAGATGATCACGAGGGTCCATCCTTTGCATCTGGAGGGGGCTCTTCCTCACCATCAACCTGCCCTCACATCTTTCCTCCTCCACCTCCTCCTCCAAGTCTCAGATCAAGCTCCTCCAAACCAGACTTGCACTCTCTCTTCTGGGCACCTCTTTTTACAGCATAATTATTTCACCAGCCTAGAAGCAGGAGGACCTCCTGGGGCAGGGACTGTGCCCTTTTTCATCAGTATTCCCTGGCCTTAACCCAAGGGCCTGGAACATGGCAGGAAATCATGAGTGTGTGGGGGAGGTTGAAGGAAGCCCTCTCAGTGTGGGGACAGGGGTTTGGTAGAGGAGAAGGAGAGCTAGAGCCAGATGAAAATACAGATATAGAGGCCACAGATATAGAGTTATAGACAACTTTCCCAATTCCCTGAAGAACTTGGAATGATGCTTGGTGGCCGGCTCCTGCCACCTCCTCTGAGCCACTCCCACTCCCCCAAGGGGTGTCTGTGCCCAGCCACATGGGCCTCTCTCTGCTCTCAAATATACAAGCCCATTTGTACCCCGGAGCTTTGGCATTTGCTGGGTCCTTTCCCAAGCTCTCCTCCCCCAGATGTTGGAGGGCCGCTCCTTCATCTCTCATTATCACCTCCTTGGAGAAGCTTTCTTGGACCTTCCAACCTACAGCCATCACAAGGTAAGTCTCTGGCGCATCATCTAGGTCTTTCAGATTTCTTTATGTACCTAGAATTATCTCATGCATTCCCATGTGCTTGCCATCTGCTTCCCCTCAAACAGAGTGTGGGAGCCTTATCTGTTTTACTCACTGTCATCTGAGCTGCACAGCAGGCCTTAGGCTTGAGGAATCCCTTAAATCCAGAGTGGAAAAGACTCAGGCTTGTTCAATTGCTCTTTCATTTGATTCGAAGATCTTAACCATTGCCACTGTCACTCCCTGTGATAGTGGATACACAAGCACCTGGGAGCCCCAAGCCTCACTCTTGGGCCAGGGCTGGACTCGGTGCTTTTCTTTTTTGTTCGAGAAGGAGTTTTGCTGTTGTCACCTAGGCTGGAGGGCAATGGCTCAATCTCGGCTCACTGCAACCTCTGCCTCCAGGGTTCAAGCAATTCTCCTGCCTCAGCCTCCCGAGTAGCTGGGATTACAGGGGTGTGCCATCACACCCAGCTACTTTTTGTATTATTAGTAGAGACGGGGTTTCATCATATTGGCCAGGCCGGTCTCAAACTCCTGACCTCAGGTGATCCACTCGCCTTGGTCTCCCAAAGTGCTGGGATTACAAGTGTGAGCCACTGCACCCGGCCTGGACTCAGTGCTTTCTTCTGCTGTCTCCCCTCTCTCCTCCACATTCCATCTCTCCTTCCTTCTTTGCCAGGCCCAAGAGCCAAGTTTACATCAACCCCCATCAACAACAACGAAGAGAAGAAAATTTCAGAACTTCCTGTTCTGAGACTTTGAAAGACTTTTTTAATTAACCAAAATGGTTTCTCATAATAGATGGGTCCCAGGGCGAGAAGGCGGCTGTAACTCATGCAGCAGGCGGCAGGCGCCAGGCGGCCCGGCTGTGAGTGGGGGGCCTAGCGGGTTGTGAATGGCAGCAGTGCCTCAGGAGGGCCCAGACTGATTCTCCCCTCCACGGCCATCTGCCGTTTTATCTTTTAGTTTGGGACACTTCTGTCTTTTGAATGCTAGAGCATTTTTGCCTTGATGAATATGTTTTTGAAAACACTTAATTTAGATGAATACACAAAAATGTGTTTCCTCATAACTCATAATTTTTAAAAATTAAAAACATCTCCTGGGATGGTGATACCTTTCCCCCCAACCACTACTCTAATTTTCAGAATGCAGGTACATCTTACATTGGGAAGTCCAATATATCTAAATCTGAACCTCAAAATAGATGCTTGCATGTAAGTATCCTTTAAAGAACTACATTCGATTTTCAAAAGGATTCAACCCAGTATTCCTTTAAGTTGCTAGATTCCTAAATTAATTTCAAATCTGTTTTACTTTACAAGATCTTGATACATACAGTATACATTTTTTTTCTGAAATCCATCTACTGTTATTTATTTATTTATTTTTGGATGTCATCTAACTTGGGAGATAAACAAGCAGACTATAAGGACTCCTTAAATATAAGGACCATGTGTCATCTCTGTGTTCATAGAAAGGAGTGCTATGCCTACTCAATACTCCATGTATTGTTGAATTGCAAATGGTAAAGTATTTAAGTAAATTAAAATATTGCAAGTTGACCTGCAGATGTGGACTCTGTATTACTCAATTTTTTCCTCAATCACAGCCTTCATATATGGCATATAAACACAGCCTGGCTTTGTAATAAAGTAAGTCATTATAGAGGAGAAAGAAACAAGAATATCAGCAAATACCTAGCAGATGGAGGTGAGATCTGGTTAATCTTTCCAAACTAGATGTTTCCGTTCAGGTTGAAGTTGTTGGGGAAGGAACTGAGTATCTGTCCCTAAGGACTTTTCGGTATCATTTAGATACAATGCACCTTTAAACGGGCAGTGGTTGTTACCTGGATGAGAACATTCCATTGATTCGTGGAGCTTGCATAACCTCAGTGCCTTCCTTGTTGGAAGGGTTTTCAGACCATAGTCTTGTTGCCAAAAGCAAACCAACTTTAACCCCATTTTTTGGGAGGCTGCATGGCCAAAAGAACAGTCAAAGAGATGGCATTTGGGTCACTCTCAGATTGCAGAACCCATGGTAGAGAGACAGACTCCTCCTTCAGCGACAGTTGTAGACCAGGAAGAGTGTGACTGGCAGGAGATAGGCAAGCAAGCCATGGACAAAGCAAGTCACTGTAGCTACTGATAATTCATTAAGTGTGTGGACTTTGCACTTAAGTCACAACATGGCAGACTACATTTTAAGATAAGGTTTAAGAACAAGAACCAACATTTCTGGTACAGGAAATTTTTATCAACTAGCTGAGGTAGGAGCTTGCTGCACATTAGGAGAAGATCAGCATCATCCGGTTTAAGCATCAGGGTCCCTTTGTTAGTTCGGGGTCTCTGCTAGCCCAGCCATTGTCCTTCGAGTGAACTTGCAGGAGAAAGCCCCTCTGGACAGTCAAATGAGAACAAGGCGTCCTCCTCTGGGCAGCCGCGGACCGCACCACAGCTCAGGTCCTGCTGCAGAGCTCAGAAGTCAGGACACACCTGGCGACTGCTGTCTCTGGCACAGGCGACCATTCCCTGCAGTGAGGACACTGCTTGTCGCAGACCAGCTGGTTTCACATCTACCACCAGCTGCTGTGCAATGATGATGCCTGTCTTTCTCTGCTTGGGCCCTCAGGATAGCTTCCCGCACCCACATTGATGGGCTGTTAGTGGTTCTGCCAGTTCTATTCAGAGTCAGGCCCTGACACTGATCCTTTTAAGGGGACAAAGGACAGTCTCTCTTAAACCTCTGTATTTGCTTTGCATTTATCTCAAATCTTCTCCACACAAAACTGAGGGGCCTGGATCCAGTACCAATTATTCCTGGAAAAATCATCCAAGAAGAAGTTGAGGGAGTTTGATGTCATGAGTAGAGACTTTCTCTTCTCATCTGCATCAGGTGACATCAGCTTGATGCTCAAGTGGTCCGGCATCTTCATGTACAAAGATAACAGAGTGGACATCACATCCACTGAACTAGCTGCTTTATTAAAAGATAGGCATTCAGGATTCAATCAGAATTGTTTTAAAAATGAAAGCTATGGAGACTTGAACATGCTGGCTTCTATCTTGGGTAGCCTGTTCCCAGCAGGTGTGCAGTGACTCTGTGATGTTTCAGGAAGACCCCTAATCTAAGAAGGTTACTGCGTTTAGCACTACAGTGTGCCCATTCCAGTTATAATATTTTATCAGAAGCCATCATGATCTCAGATGGAGAATATTCCATTGATTCACAGGGCTTGCACAAGCTCCGTGTCTGCTCTCTGCCCTAAGAAAGCAGGAAAATGTGAGCTTACAACTAAGGATGGCTGGACTTCAAGTTTGATATGTGCAGTTTCTCTTTCCTGCATGGGTAAGGGAATGTGTGTAACCTATTTTCAGCAAGTCATGGATGATACTCCCTGAACCTAACCTGACAGAAAACATACATTAGAAGATTTGCCCTAAAATACCTTTAAAGGGAAAGCTCAGCTAGAGAATTTAAGGCAGGAATTACAGAAACTTTTCCGAAAAAAAAAAAATCAGTTGTGATATGTTTAAACATGAAGGACACAAATACAAACAAACATTAAATAAAATGATCAAATAAGAAAAAAGCACAAAATGATCAAATAAGAAAAAAGCACAAAGTGCAGTAACAAATATATCAATGGAACAGTCTGTGTCTTATAGTACTTATTACCTTGCTACCACTCAAGAGCTGAACAGCCCAATGGAAACTTTAATATATACCACTAGCAGCAAAATAACTGCTTTTATTGAAGAAGAAACAAACAAAAACTGTGTTGCTCTAAGCAATTTTGAAATGAATATCTGATTCAAAACTTCCCCTGTGCATATAATTGTATGCTAATTTACATTTTAATTACTTCCTAAGAAATCAAAAGCATTTGTTGACAGTAGAACATAATGTCAACTTCACGGTGCTCTGTTGGTGGATGCTTAATGAACTTAATTAGATAATTAGTGATGTTAATTATCCTTCTATTATGAAGATAAAGATGTCTCACAAATGATGCACTCAGTAAAGAAACATCATTAAAGGTATCAGTGTTTGCTTTGTTCATTTACATGTATTTTTCAGACTCCTATAACAGACACTTGTGATAGACCAGAGACACTTAAGACTCCTTAAAATGGAAAAAGAAAAACCACTGTCTTTCTTCATCCAGCTCTTATCCTTCCCCCTTATTCTGGATACTAATGCTGTACTGGTGATGTTGCCACTTTTTCAAAATCTGGGCTGTAGGGAACTCTCGTCCTTGTTCAGTTCTGCTGCTGAGTTTCTGGTGCAATTGATCAGACTCCTTCCCGCTTCCTTCTCACTGGTGTGATAGGTGAATTCTAATGTCAATTGCTTGCACAATGGGATGTGTCTATGTGTGTGTGGGTGGGGGTGTGCATATACACGTGTGTGTGTGTGAGAGAGAGAGAAAGAGAGTGGGGGTGTGTGTGTGTGTGCGTGAGAGAGGTGTGTGTGTGTGTGTGTGTGTATGTGTATGTGTGTGTGTGTGTCAAGGGAAGAGCAAAAATGAGAGAGAAGGCTCTGGTTGAGTGTCCAGAAAACCTAAAAGGATAATGGAGCCCCTCCCCACCGCCCCAGGCTGGTTGAATTTCCCTGATGCTGCAGTGTGTCCCCACCTCCATCACCAGACTCTGTCCCTCTGGGGAAGGTCATTCTGGGTGTGGCGTAGGAAGCACGGCTGCCTGCAAGACTGAGGGCAATGATACAGGCCACATAGACTTTACTTTCAGTTGAAGTGAAAACAGAAACTTTTGAGGTTTAAAAAATAACACTAGACTTCATTACATTTTTGTTCCTTCCTTGCCCCCAAATACCACCATAATCAGAGCATAATGGATATCCCGTCTGGAAATATTCCTAGCCCAGACAGTACGATGAAGAGCTCTCAGGCCAGACTGGGAGAGAGGCATTATTTTTAGGGTCAGTTATCTCAGGAAAAGCACCAAGAGCCAAGAGGTCCTTGGCAGCATTGCCCACCACAATTAAGAAAACCAATATTCCATTTAGCAGAAGGTCTTAGAACATGGCTCACGCCAGTAGAGCAGTTTATACTTTTCAAAGTGTTTTTTAAATTATACTTTCCTTTCTGAGTGGTTTTATTTATCTAACAGATAGTCCTCTTTAATTACGTACTCAAAAGACTTTTCCTCCCACTGAATACAACTGCGTTTTCCAACAATACAGCATTGTGATTTCTTAGAAACACTGTTTTCAGGTTTTCTGAGTCTCCCTTGTCTTTTCTGTGGTTTTTAATAATTTATCCCTCCAGCCTGCTTTCTCTTGATCTGTGGATACAAGCTGGCCTTTCTGCTTTCCTGCCATGCCAGTAAGAACCTATCACAAGATCTCACCTCTCTCTGGGTCCTCT
Organism: Homo sapiens; assembly: GCF_000001405.40. Lineage (NCBI taxonomy): Eukaryota > Metazoa > Chordata > Mammalia > Primates > Hominidae > Homo > Homo sapiens. Next base: position 48,839,525 of record NC_000010.11, on the reverse strand, counting down.
GACTCTTGCATTTTAGAAATCCTCATGTGTCTTCATTTTCCTCCAGGTTTAGGCCACCTACCTCCAAATCCCTCTCTTAAAGTCATATTCATCTCCTGGGGAAGACCCTTCTCTCTTTCCCACGAACATTATGTTGAATCTACTACAACTTTAAGTAAAAATGTTTCACACGATGACCTTCTGAATATCAGATTTTAAAAATGTCATGCAACCTTTTAAAGATCTTTAACTCTTTTTCAGAAGAATTTCTCTGAGAATTCTGACTTCTGTTTTCACAACTGCATTTTGACATCCTCAGCTCAGCTCTGTTGTACCAGTTACTTCCCCTGCATTCCAAACCAGTTCTTTCTATTTTCAAAAATCCATTCTCACTCCCAGTACTCTCTGGGCTCGTGAGCTTTTTATCCCAGGGAAGTGAAATCTGAGGCCTGTGCCTGGAGTGCTGCTCAGCTCCTGAACATGGAGAGCCCAAGCGTTTAACTAGAAAGCAGCTGTGTCATCGCAGAGCTTATTGCCTTTCTTCCTGAAACTGCAGCATGGGATTCTCCAAGGCTCAACGTGCCCTCAGCCTCAGCAAGACCCTCCTCTCATCAGCAGGAGACAAACACAAACATGCCAGCAAGCAAGACCAGGTGCTACTTGATCACTCCCGCAATGATGGCTAAAGCCTTCCAGTTCTGCACATTTGCTTTCCTCTCTGCAATCTTTATTTGGGCCCCATGATTTCTTTAAAGAGAAAATAAGCATACAGAAACAGTAATGCATGAAATAATACGATGTCTGGGATGTTGCTTCAGAATTATTCAGTGCATAGGGGGGAAGTGGGAAGTCATAAGGAGAGAAAATTGGCCATGAGTTGAAAATTGTTGAAGTCAAGTGATGGATAGATACATGGGGATTCATCACATTATTTTACTACTTATGTGTATGTTTGAGAATTTCCACAATGATTTTTTTTTCAAAAAGATAATGGGTGAAGTGCTCAGAGGGGATAGTCAAAAACATCATTTCCCTCACCGAGGACCTCAGCCAGAGCTGCCCTTAACAGAGCTGTCACTGAGTTACTGGCCTCAGTCAGCATCTTGTCCTCTGCTGGGGCAGAGCTGCTTCATGCTAGGGTGGGTGACGGCAGGTCTGGCACCTGGTCAGGGAAGGAGCTGATGGCAGACCCCAGGCACCCTGCCCACATAAGTGCCCTGCCTCTGAAGTCTCCAAGGCGCCCAATGGTGGGCACTGCTGGTTTCATTGGAGGTCTCATAGGGCAGCCTTTAGGGGACCCCCAAGAAAGGTGTGAGGCAAACTTCTAATGTTTCCCTGTCCTTGCCAGGGCAGATGTAGAATTCCTACAGAAAGCTTTTGCTTTTTTTAGCAATTCCAGCGGATCATCCTCACGCTTCTGGTGCCCTCTCATCCCATTCTGTTAATTCTTACACAGCCCTGACTTCCCTGCATGGGCCATTTCAGTTTGCTAATACCTGGCTTTGAAAACAGCAACTGGAAGCTTGCTCAGCTATCTCCTAAAGCCATGGAATTGTGGGGAACACAGGGCTCTGCCCTCCTCCGTGTGAATCCTGTTCTTCTATAAGTCCCCCAATCTTTGCTGGCAGGCTGGTGAGTGGGTCCCCCTCCTCTGATGGGGCCTGCCTGGCCCACTGCCTGGGATAGCTGTCCATATGTATACAGTTGATCCCAGGAGGAAAGTGGGCTGAAATCCAGCTTATGCTCTATGTACACAGGTCGGGGGCTGCCCAGAGAGGCTCCCACCCCTTTAAGGGCTGGAAGTCACCTTGTACTCTCAACCCCATTCCTCTGGTTCTTATTTTTCTCCACTCTCTGTGGAATCCCACAGAGCCATCTGAATGCCAGACTTCCCACCCCCAGGTGCTGTCTCTTCTCAGAGCCAGGCCTGCCCTGGGTGGCCCTCTTTTCTCACCTGTCCCAGCCTCACTTGAACAGAATTTTCTGTGTGTTATCGCTGTTCACTACTCCAGCTACAGCTACTGCAGCCCCCACTATCTCCCACCTGAATCACACTACAGCCCCCTGTCACCCACAGTTTGGCTCCCCACCAGGGGCCCTCACCTGTAATCTCACCTATAGGAGCAGATGCCATGACTCTGTTTAACCTCTCACCTACAGGTAAACATGAGTGTCTAGGCTGGCCTGTGGTACCCCCTGACCTGGCTTTTACCCACTGCCTTGGCCCCTTTCTTACCACCTGTTATGTCTCTGGCCTTCTCCCTGCCCGAGAGCTCTCCTCTGCACAGGCTTTGACCTTCCTCCTCCCAGACTCAGCTCTAGGCGTCACCTCCTCCATGGCCCCTTCCTAACCAGCTTCCAGCCCCCTGACTCCTATGCACATTTTCTGATTGCTAATGCTTTTATATAAACAGATGATGACACACATTGCATTTTAGAATATTTTCAATTTTCATAAAAGTTACAAAGATAGTAGAGAGTTTTCATCTACCCTTCACCTGTTTTCCTATAAAGTTATTAACATCCCACATTGCCATGGTGTACCTGTCAAAACTAAGAAACCAACATTGCTTGTTGATGTCTTTTCAGCTGTTTTTAAACAAGGAAGTCTGGAATTGAGTACGTAAGCAGAGCTGAATCCACGGCTGTGAAGAGGGGAGCTGGCCACCCTGTGCAGTCTGGATTCTCCAGGCAGATGGTGGACATGAGAAAGTGGCCTGCACCCTGAGTTGCCCTTTGGTGGCCTCAAGGGAGTCCAAGTTCCCAACCTCTGTCCAACAAGCTGACACTCACAGCCTTCTAGAGATAGTGGGTGATGTCACAATTTGCTCCCACAGGGGACTGTGATGGGGTCAGGGGGAGAAGAAGAAGAAATAACATCTATCAAATCAGCCCTGCCTCAAAGTTCAGCTCACCCACCAGGAATAAAACATTTTCTACTGAAAATGAAGATAGGTAAGAGGAATTATGAATTCTATATCATATGTCTCACTCCAAGGAACAATTTATCAGTGCTATAGGGCTATCAGCTGCTGACATGATAAGGAATAACACCAAATGAATAATGTTTCCTCCAACACCAACTCCTTTAATTACAAGCCTCTTCTTTCCAGAAGAGAGACAGAAGATGCAGAAACCCCAATTTCATGCACTTGTGCCTGAATAATGTCTCCGTGCTGCTTTTTCCAGATGGCGACCTTCTCACTGGAGGGACTAATGATGTGGGCATATTTAGGGAAAAACCAATAACGGAGTCTTTAACCTTCAACAACAAAAAGCATGTTGTACAAAATGTTCCTTGGGATACATTAGAAAATATCAATTACATTGCTCACTGAGGTGTAATCAGCTGTAATAATCAAAATTAATTTTTAAAAATAATTAAACAGACCCCAGGGCAAATAGTTGATGCTCTTATCCTATGACATCACAGTGTACATATGTACCTGAGAAGTTGTGCCTTCTGTTAGCGACAAAGGCATCTCACAGAGTTGAGTGATGGATGCAGTGTCTGAAAGCTGGCAAGTTTCATCTCAGCAAAAGGAGGGGGAGCATCTATCCCCTTGCTCTAAGCACTTCCATCTGCATTCTTTAAGGGCCTACCGTGTAGCAGGCACTGTGCCCATCCAAGACTTAGTTACCAGTACAAGATGTTGCTAAGCAAAGATGCAGTTAATTTTAAAAATTAAAACATAGTCCTTGTTTCCAAAATAATGTGTCTTTTAAAATCTACAAGATAATTTAAAGTGTAGAAAGAAAAAATCAAATTGAAGGGAAAGTGGGGTCAGTGGAGAAGAATGAAGCCAGGGAGAGGGTATGTATGTATGCATTTGTATGCGTAGGTGGCTCAAAAATTTATCCCACTAGTTGTGTGCAATTACAAAAGCTTAACCATGCTTATCTCTCTCAGTTTCTGAGTGTCCAGATCAAAGACAGAAACATAATCTGTTGCAAAATTTCTGCTCTTCTTGAGTTGCTGAAAGTAGTTCTTCCTGGTGCTAAAAGGTGAGGGAGACATTCCCCGTGGCTGCCTGGAAGCTGGGGTGGCTGCGGGTGACTCCCTCCACTTCAGTTCAGCCACACTGGCCTTTGCTGCCCAGCACACATGCACCTCAGTGCCATTGCCCAACTGTCCTCTCTGCCTGATCCTCTTTCCCAGAGCATCTCAAAGCTCATGTTCTTCATAAATTATCTCCTCTGCTCCAAGGCATCCTTGCCAAAGATGACTTTGCTGACCTTCTCCATCTGAACAAGCCCAGCCCCTCTCTCGCCCCCCTCCCTGCCTTACCCTGCATTGTTTTTTCTCATTGCCATCAGTTCTCCCAATATTTACAACTGTATTTGCTTATTGTCTATCTTACTTCCCAGACTGCAGCTCCTTGAGAGAAGAGAATATGTCAGTTTTGTTCTCTGCTGTAACCTCAATGCTGAGAGCAGGGTACAGAGTAAGTGCTCAATAAATATTTGTTGAATGAACAAGTGAATAAGACCTCAATGGATATAGAAGACAAAATCTTCAGCAGCCTGCCCTCACCCAAGACAGAGCCGGCTTTGGATATTCTTTCTCCCAGATCTCTCAATGTGAGCCAAGAGCAAACTGTTAAAAGCCACTTGGGACACCTATGTGGCCCTAAACATGGTGGTCTACTCAGCCTTCTTTCATACGAACTGTTGCTCAATGCATGTCCCCAGGACTCGGAGGCAGCTGAGCTGTATCAATGAGAGTGACTAGAGGGGAAGGGAGAAGGGCATTGGCAAGAGGCAGCATCAACAGGTGTGAGGGTTCCCATGAGATGAATGCCCATGCCCAGCACCCTAACATTCCTTCCCTAGCTCCCAGCCAGGCTGTCCTGACCTCCTGGGGACAATGGCCAAGGAAGAGAAGCTCCATGATGAAGCCAAGGAAAGAGGGGCTGGGCCCCTTCTGTCTCAAGTGACACTGGTCAGGAGCAGGTATATGGGCACAAGTGGGAATGCTCCAAGTTTTAGGACTTGGTACACATATCACCTATAGGATGATCTTGACCTTGGCAGAGAGAGCTAGAAGGCCAAATGGAATTTGTAAACAGTCTCCTATTTCTAAAGCATTTACAGCTTCCAAGGGCTCCACATGCTCTATTATAAACAGAGCATATTCCCAGTGGTAAGTTCAGGAATGAAAGCTCTGAGAGGTTCCATAAATTCCCTAAGGTCCTCCTCAGCAGCACAAAGATGGGATCCTATCTTCACTCTGACATTTAATGACTGAAAAGCCCTTAACTTTCTTTTTTTTTTTCAGATTCAGCTTCCACATTTTTATAACAAGGCTATAATACCTGTCTGATGCAGCTATTACAAAATCTGAGTGAGTTACTCACACATTCACGTATTCAATCAGTGAGTCTATCAATGAACTTATTGAACAGTGCCTTTAACAAGTCAATTCCCTGAGAATACAGCCTGAATAAGACATGTGCTTTGCCCTTAGCTCTTAGCATCAGGTAGCTGGTCAGCCCAGCCATTCATTTCTGGACTTCCCTTCTATGTCTGGACTCTTTCTAGGCCCTGAAGCCTATGATTCCCAAAGCCTGGGAAAAGAAAGGCCTTTTCCTCGGCTGCCTGGGCACTTACAGGCAGTTACAGATTCTGAGCTGGTGGGATTTAGGCTCCACCTCATTTCCCGAAGTTCATGGGCCAAGAGCTGGGATTATGTTAATGTGTCTGTCAGCTGTCTACTTTACCTCCCTGGGGAACCTTTCTGGGTTCTCACAGTTATTTATCCCACTGGGGAGTTAAGTAAACTGCCCAAGGTCTCCTGACCCTACAGCCATGTCTAGCAAAAACCACAGTCCACCTCTGAAGAAGTCAGTGCCCCTGGGATTAGAATATATCACTGGCATTAGAATATATCACAGATCATGCATTTCCAAAAGAGCCTCAGCAACATTTCCAGTCCCACATGTTCCTGCAGAACCTCGTCACTCCCCCATGAGAAGGTGGAGTCTATTTCCCTTCCCTTGAACTTGGGCAGAATTTTTTCCCCATCTTGATGGAGGTGACACTGCATGGCTCCTGAAGCTAGGTCATAAAAGGTAATGCAGTTTCTGCCTGATGAGCTCTCTCTCTCCATTATCTTTTGAAACCCTGCTACCATGCTGTAAGGAAGCCCAGTTCACATGAGGAGGCCATGTGTAGGTGTTCCAGCCAATAGCCCCCCTTAAGGTCTCAGACTAAAGCCAGCACCAACCACCAGATATATGAGTAACTCAGCCTTCCAACGATCCCAACTGAGGCCCCAGACACTGTGGGGCAGAGATAACCTGTCCCCCCACCCACCGTACTCCATATACCTTACAACAACGTTCCTGATCTCTCTCTCTCTCTCTCTCTCTCTCACACACACACACACACACACACACACACACATTGTTGGTGCCAATGAGTTTTAGGAAGACTTGTTTTGCAGGTTTTGAGAAACTGATTAGAAAATCCCAACGGGTCTGCCCCACACAGTAAAGAGGGCCTACCCAACACAGTCAAAGTGGCCCAACCCTGTGTCTCCTGGCAATGAAGTGAATGTTTCTGTCCACCTTTGCTGGGCTCACACCCCTAGCTGCTGCTGAGTGGTGGGCTAGTGCCCTCTGAATACATCTGACTCCAGTTGAGAATGGGAACAAGGAGCCAGCCTAATACAGCCTAAACATAGCCTCCACTGGGGAGCTACATGCATACCCTCAAATGCTCACAAGGACGTGGAGTTAGATCATGTCTAGTAACAGGCAGCAAAGAAGAGATATGACTCATGGGGTTTGAAGCAAATGCCTGATACTTTTCTGAGGAAAAGGGGTCTGGGCTCACCTCTGTCTTGCACTCAGGGTCCTTGGCCTGCCGCCCGGGCATCAGCTTCATGGCTGAGGACAGGCTTCCACTCCACAAAGTGACTTTGCTGTGGTGTGCAACATTTGAACGACTTGCCAGTGACTTCTTCTCAGATGCTGAGGGAAGGGAAGCAAAGAATGTCAGAGGTGAAGTGAGAGCACACACTATTTTTATAGCTAGCTTGGCTTTCAAAGGGCCAGCCAGGGGCATGAGCCCCCTGTGGTTGCCTCCAAAAAGAGAAACAACCCAGGCTACAAGCTCACACTGCCGTCTTCTGACCTTCCTTTGGCTAAGAAACACTGTGGGCTTTGAGGTCACCAGACTTAGCCTAAACTCCTAGCTCCACGGCTTGTTGATCCACAATGAGATGTTGAGCAGATTAACTAAAGTTGCTGAGCCTCAGTTTTCTCATCCTGTGAAATGGGGATAACAATATCTAAACCAGTTGAGGGGTCATGAATATTACATAAGATGTGTTTAAAGACCCTGGAACATAGAAAGTATTCAATATAGGACTGTGGGCAAAAAGAGAGTCATTTGTAAGCTTTACAGTTTTACTACTTTATTCCACTCTATGTGCATGGATATGTATATCCTATTTTACTTTTCTCTGAAATAGAATCTGACATTTTGACTTTAAAAGTACATGAAAGTAGACAGGTATTGCTATCGTTTGAATGTGTGTTCCCTCCAAAATTCATGTTGAAACTTAATCCCAATTGTGGTGGTACTAAGAAGTGGGACCTTTTGGGAGGTGATTAAAATATGAGGGTTCTACGCTCATGAATGAATTAGTGTCTTATAAAAAAGCTGAAGGGGGCCATCCCAGGCCATTTTTGCCCTTCTGTCTCTTCCAACATGGGAGGACACAGCATTTCTCCCTTACAGAGGATATAGCAACAAGGTACCATCTTAGAAGCAGATGCCAGACACAGCCCTCAGCAGGCACCAGATCTACTGGCACCTTGATTTTGAACTTCCCAGCCTCCAGAACTGAGCAAATAAATTTCTATTATTTGTAAATCACTCAGTCTGTGGTATTTTGTTATAGCAGCATAAATGGACAAAACCAGATATGTATATATACACTTGCCAGGACTAATTTATAAAGCCAATTTAGAAGGAGATTCTGGGCCACTGGACAGTCTGGGACAATATACATGGAAATAACTAACTCTTGAATCACTGCACATTTTGTGATTCTGGAAGATGTACAAGTATAGGAGGTGTAAGTTGAGAGCAGTGATCACCTTGAAAACAAAATTAAAAATTCATTCTTGCAGTTGCATTGACTAATATGCAAAAATGTTGTTTATTAGTACCAAATACTAATATGATAAAAATGTTGAGGTCACTAACAGAATAGAATGCAAGGGACATTAATATTTTGGGGATGAAAACTTTCATTTCATGAAGTGACAGGACATGAGGAACCTAAGCTCAAGGACATTGCATGACAGTGAAAGGTTTCAAAGCTGGTCGGTGGATAACAGGGTAGGACCTAGAACCTCAAGTTCCTGAGCCCAGGCCACAGCCTCCACATGGGCCTCTTCCTCTAAGAAATTACTGGAATCTTCCTGCTTGGTTGGCTCCTGTGGCCTTGCTTTCACCCAAGGTGCCATGTGATATTCATTATTTGTGAGGAAAGATACATAAGATTTCAGTGATATAAATCCCATCCACTTAAGGGATGAGACAGAGGGTCCAGGTGGAAAAGGCTCTAGGCACTGAGTTGAACCTTGCGGGAGTCTGGCTCTGTGAGACCCAGGAGTTCCCATTCCCTGGAGCCGAGTGGATAGAGACCTAAGTAATGCTGCCAGGCCTTGAGCATCGTCTCCTCCCAGAGCGGTGTGACCTCTTCAATCTTCACTTCCCTCTCTCCAGGTTTCACAGAGAGATCGATCTTGAAGGCATCCTCCAGGGTCTGCTGCCTTTGTGCCACCAGCTGCTGCCAGAGAGTCTGCACTGTCTTCTGGATGTTGTGTTGGACTAGCAGAGAGAGCACATGGCACACTCAGGATGGCCTCAGTGACCCTCCCAGAGAGGGCTGGGAGATGGTGCATCATGAGTGGTTTTACCCACACCCTTCTCACTTAAGGTCTTGAACATCACCCCAGCTTTGCAAGCTTCAGCGAGAAGCAATCAGTACTGAGAGCCACAGGCCTGACAACAATGCCACCAACACCCATGCAAGCTGGCCTTTCTCCACCTCCACCTGCTTACCACCAATTCCTGCCTGCCTCACATGTCCAGGACTGGGAAACATATCATTTATGAGCTCAGAGACCCTCAACTCTCCACCCCATAATTCTGTTGGATACCAGAGGGACACCTTGTGTGATCTCAGGGTAGTCAAATAGCTCCACTCAAACAGCTCCTTCCAACCTTCCCTTACATGTTGACCTCTCAGGGGAATGGACACCAAGCTCAAGACTATCCTGTGGCTCACGGCTCAGGAACAGCCTGTCCTCTTTCCTGGACCTTGCTTCTCACTACCCACCCATTTCAGTCCCCTGGAATTCTTCAGGTATAAGCAGATCTAACAAACCAACTGTGTCTGCTGTGCCCCACATCTGTAATCCCCTGAACCATGCCTAAATTTTCTCTGATCTTGGACCAATGAGTCCCCTCTCTGGTAACAGCCCCTGGAGACTGTTTCTCTCACCCTAAGGGAATGGACAGTGCCCAGCCCAGCTCTACTGGCCAAGTCCCAAAGTATGTACCTCTGTGTTGTAATCAAAACCATGTCCAACAAACTTCAAAGTCACGAGATTTTTGAGCATGGCAGCTACCTGACCAGAACACAGAGGCCCTGTGTGTACAATCTTTTATTTTTGAGATGAAGTTTTACTCTTGTTGCCTAGGCTGGAGTGCAGTGGTGTGATCTTGGCTCACTGCAACCTCCTCCTCCCAGGTTCAAGTGATTTTCCTGCCTCAGCCTCCCGAGTAGCTGGGATTACAGGTGCCCGCCACTATGCCCAGCTAATTTTTTTGTATTTTTAGTAGTGACAGGCTTTCAGCATGTTGGGCAGGCTGGTCTTGAACTCCTGACCTTAGGTGATCCACCCGCCTTGGCCTCCCAAAGTGCTGGGGTTACAGGTGTAAGCCACTGCACCTGGTCGTGTGTACAATCTTGTATTACAACATATGACTAGGTAAGTGTAACAGTCTGCAAACCAGACTGGCAGAAGGAGTGGCAGAGCTTCTGCTTCCTAGACCAAGAGAGAGCATAATCTCTCAAACACATAGAACTGGCTGCTAGAAAAATAACTGCTAATCCCTTTAACTTGATTTGAGATTAGTAAATCCAAGAATAAACTCCATTAGGCAAAAAGTCTTATAGAGAGTAATGGGTTTGTTTAATCCCTTCTCATTTACTAGGGAATGAAGCTGAGCAGCAACTAGGTAATGGCTTGAACTAAATTAGGTGAGATGGGGAGTGACAGTTTTAATTTACCGTAGAGTACCCTGGGATTAAGCTTCTAGTCAAACCAAGTCCCATGGAGCTTTCTCTTCACCTATGCATCGATTCATTCCTTTCCATTTCATTTCTAGTATACAAAGACCAATCCAGTGTTACTTTCTACCAGCTTGCCTTGCTATATACTAATACATGATTACCCTAGGATTTCCTAAGTCTTCTGGCTTTTTGAAAATGTCCTTAATAGTATCTGCTTTCTTATTTCGGGAAGGACGAACTGAAGAATGCAACCCTAGCAGGTACCACTATCCTGCCACCACCCCCTCCCCGCCCCCCCCCCGCCCACACACACAATGACAAATAAAATGTACCATCACTCAAACTTGGTAAGTCTTCTCTTTTTTCTTTCACGTCTTCATTTGGGGAAAGGAAGACTTGATGATAAGTAGACATTCTAGGCTTGGGCTCCAATCCAAATCCTTCTGGGTAACTAGTGGATAAGAGATTTTTCACTAAAATCCAATAAATTCCAGTTTCCTTGAGACCATTCTATTGTTCTTTATTACAAATAATCATCCTCCAATAATTATCTATATCAATATGGAAAAAAACTTGCCTAATCAAATTAAAGCAAACACTTTATAAGAAATTCCACAGCAGATATTTTAGAGTGGCATTCTGAATAGTAGGAGAAACACTTTCTCCTTATGAGAAGTCTTGTGAAATCCCACCTGTGCTGCCAGCAGTCCCCCTGTGCCCACTCCTGATTCCCCGCCATCAAAACTAGTCATTTCTTTCAGTGCCTTCCCAAAGAATTGAACCCTGCCTTTGTTTGGCATTGATTTCATCCTGCTTGAATGGGGCCAGGGTTGGCTTCATGGGCGTGCAACCTGTGCAATTACACAGGGCCCTGCACTTAGAAGAACCCTTTTTTGGGGCTCTGCTGTCATCATCTTGAAATTTTGGGTATTTTTGGACACAAGCCTAGCATTTTAATTTTGCTGGAGGCCTCACATATGATGTAGCCAGTTGTAAGTGGGGACACAGTGGTTTATACATTAGGTTTCCCATGAACCATGTGCTCTGGGGGTCCCCATTGTGTTAACGTCCACGTGGCCATTATGACACAAACCAAACAGACACTCAGTAAATGTTCATGGATTGAACTGAAAATGACAAACATGGAAAGGAAAATAACCTGACATATGAGAATGCCCATGTTTGAAATTTCTAGAATGAAGTCAATCTTGCTAAACAGAGGGAACTGAGGAGGGTATCATCTCAAGCATATAATTCAGTTGTCATTCTGCTCCTCTTTACCTGTGCTTCCAGGATGGACAAGGCCTAACTCTTGAAACAGGAAGAAAAAAAAAAAACTTCCCCAAATTAAACCACATACTGAAAATGGATTATTTTCTTTCATACAAAGACAAGTGCCTCTCTGGGCTAGGAGGGTTTCCCAGGGCTTCCCAGAGAGTTTTATGAGAAGTCAATGCTAGTGTTTTGTACTGCTCAGTAGTCAACACTACAGGATGTGGGGGATTGTTTTTTTTTCAAGTGATCAAACATAATTTTTGTTAGGATGAATAAAATGAAGAAAAAGGACAACAGCAAAGTGTGATATCCCATTGTCCTCTCTCCCTCTACACTCTCACGGCTCTATTCATAAGACATCATACTCACAGCCAGCAGGATGCTGAGATGCTGGAGAATGTGGTTCATGCACACTGACACGGAGAGAGAGAGACAGAAAGTGAACATAATTCCTGTCTCTCTCTCTGTGTCAGTGTGCATGAACCACATTCAGATTTGGAAATCTGATGTATTTCCAAACTTGGGGCTTCAAGAAAAGGACTCAAATAAGCTTAATTTAATAGCTTTTTAACTAGCATTTTTATGGATGTGATTTTATGTCATACATTGTATGCATATGTAATTTTTTTCCTGAAAGCAAAATTATTCCTGCATTGCACAATACAATGTATTATATTTTTTCCTTTCTAAGATTGCAATTATCAAATGATAATGCTTCTAGAGTCTGGCTGCATCACAAAATCAATGTGTACATCTAATGTTGGCATTTTCTGCCTCAAAAATTAAATCAATGACTTATCTTACAATCCTAGAATTGTGGAAATAGGGTAAATTATTATCTCATGATGATTCTAACTGCTGTCACATGGACAAGTTTGGGGATTACTTACCATGTTATCAAACATTTCACAAAATATGGAAGACCAGATAAACAAAAGGATGATATCATTTATACAGAACTCAGTCCTCAATCAAGCTTTCCTCTAAATCTCTCCTTTCTGCATGGACCACCAGCAGACAAGGAAACAAGTGGGCAGCTCTTACCTTCTCTCATTGAGTAGCAAAAGGCAATGCATGAGACACAGGAGGAAGCTGATGTTGGAATTGTAGGTGGCAAAGACAACATCCCAGTGCTCCTGCAGAAAGCCCAGGATGCTGAGAAGGCCGAGGCATTCGGAGAGGGACTGCTGGGGCTTGGATAGGCAATAAAGAATGACTTTATTTAAACTGCTGTATAAAGTGCTGAGGACAGTGTCCCTTTGAGAAGAGGCAGTCTCAATGACCTGTGTCATTAAAAAAACATACACATACACAAACTTGTGAGTGCTTTACAATTTTAGATACAGATCCAGTTTACCACAAAAATAGTATAATCAAAAAGTGACATGGCTTACCGCCCAAAGTAATTTATAGATTCAATGCTATTCCCATTAAACTACCATTGATATTCTTCACAGAATTAGAAGAAACTATTTTAAAATTCATATGGAGCCAAAAAAGAGCTCATATAGCCAAGACAATCCAAAGCAAAAAAAACAAAGCTGGAGGCATCATGCTACCTGACTTCAAACTATACTATGAGACTACAGTTACCAAACAGTGTACTGTTTTTGTACAGAATTGGTACAAAAACAGACGCATAGACCAATAGAACAGAATAGAGAACTCAGATATAAGACCACACATCTACAACCATCTGATCTTCGACAAACCTGACAAAAACAAGCAATGGGGAAATAATTCCCTATTTAATAAATGGTGCTGGGAGAACTGGCTAGACGTACACAGAAAATCGAAACTGGACCCCTTCGTTATACCTTATATGAAAATTAACTCAAGATGGATTAAAGACTTAAATGTAAAACCCAAAACTATAAAACCTCTCGAAGAAAATCTAGGCAATACCATTCAGGACATAGGCATAGGCAAAGATTTCATGACGAAAATGTCAAAAGCAGTTGCAACAAAAGCAAAAATTGACAATGGGATCTAGTTAAACTAAAGAGCTTCTGCACAGCAAAATAAACTATCATCAGAGCAAACAGGTAACCTATAGAGTAGGAGAAAATTTTTGGAATCTATCCATCTAACAAAGGTCTAATATCCAGAATCTACAGGGAACTTAACAAATTTATAAGAAAAAACCAAACGACCCCATTAAAAATGAGCAAAGGACATGAACAGACATTTCTCCAAAGAAGACATTCAGGTGGCCAACAAATATATGAAAAAAAAAGTGCCATATCACTGATCATTCAAGAAATACAAATCAAAACCACAATGAGATACTATCTCATGCCAGTCAGAATGGCGATTATTAAAAAGTCAAGAAACAACAGATGGGGTGAGGTTGCAGAGCAATAGGAACACTTTTACACTGTTGGGAATGTAAATTTGTTCAACCATCATGGAAGACGATGTGGTGATTCCTTAAAGATCTAGAACTAGAAACACCATTTGACCCAGCAATCCCATTACTGGGTATATACCCAAAGGAACATAAATTATCCTGTTACAAAAATACATGCACGCGTATGTTCATTGCAGCACTATTCACAATAGCAAAGACATGGAATCAACCCAAATGTCTATCAATGATAGATTGGATAAAGAAAATATGGTGTATATATACCATGGAATACTATGAGCCATAAAAAGGAATGAGATCATGTCCTTTGCAGTGACATGGATGGAGATGGAAGCCATTATCCTCAGCAAACTAACACAAGAACAAAAAACTAAATACCACATGTTCTCACTTAAAGTGTGAGCTGAACAATGAGAACACATGGATACAGGGAGAGGAACAACACACACTGGGGCCTGTCAGTGGGTGGGGTGGGGAGAGGGAGAGCATTAGGAAAAATGGCTAATTCATGCTGGGCTTAATACCTAGGTGATGCATTGATAGGTGCAGCAAACCACTGTGACACACATTTACCTATGTAACAAACCTGCACATCCTGCACATGTACCCTGGAACTTGGAAATAAAAATAAAAGTGACATGGCTGGGTATGGTGGCTCACATCTGTACTGCTAGCACTTTAGGAGACCAAGATAAGAAGATCTCTTGAGGACAGGTGTTCAAGACCAGTCTGGGCAGCAACATAGTAAGACCCTATCTTTCCAAAAAGTTAAAAAAAAATTTATCCAGGCAAGGTGGTACATGTCTGTAGTCCTAGCTACTTGGAGGCTGAGATGGGAGGATTGCTTGAGCCCAGGATTTCGAGGCTGAGGTGAACTGCACTCCATCATGCCACTGCACTCCAACCTGGAAGACAGGGCAGGAACTTTGTCTTTTAAAAAAAAATTGACATGACCTGAAATTCTAATAGGACTCATTTCCTCTACTTTCAAGCCTCTATTTAAGGAAATGATCAATCAAGGCTATGCAGAATTTGGGTGAAAATTTGTGTTAAAAAAAGTTGAAAGTTTGTTACAGTCATATTACAGAAAATAGATTTGGTGACCCGAGATTTCTGAAATAATGGTAACATGATTGACATTCAATGTATGAGAACATGCTATTAGTAGTATCTAATTTAAAAAATAGCTATGTGTCATTATTAATGGTTATCATAGAATACTTATAGTATTCCAGGTATTATGCTAAGCATTTTGCACAGATTTGCATATATTGCCTGTTTGTCATAAAAACACCATAGACGCTAAGTTACCCCACTGTACGGATAAGAGGCTAAGGGTCAGAGAGGCTGGGTGGTTCAGCAAGGGTCAAACACACACTGGACACTTAAGCCACGCTCTTAACCACCATATCATCTACTGGAGACGGAGTCCAGAAGATTTTAATTCAAAAGAAACTTAGAGGGAGAAGTAGAAGACCCTGATTTGTAGCCTTAGCATGGACTGGTCCATACATCTCCAAACATCTGTTTGGCTTCCATGAAAAGAATCCATAATACAAAGAGTATGCACAAAGTTTTTCAGTCCGATAGAAAATGAATTTGTTATAGGCTACTCCCTTAGAATTTCACAGGTAACGCAATGTTTCTACTCATGAAGTGAAGGTCTGTTTAAACCTGTTGGGGTTTGGGATTCATTTCTTTATCATGTTCCTCTCCTGCTCCTCAGATGGGTCTCAAACAGAGGTTAAGAGGGGCAGGCATCACAGACAGCAAGCAAGAGAGGAGGCTGGTGGATATGTGGGGAGCCGAGCCCTCAGGCCTGGTCCCCCTGAAAGCACGGTGGCCCCCACTGGCACCTATGTTTGGGATATTAGCTGGGAGTCCATGCTTTAGCCATAGGGAGCTCAGCAGCTTCTTTCCATTTACAACACAACTTGCCAGGAATCTGATTTTAACCCTCACAGAGCTGACAAGGGCTATTTCTCCTCTCTTGGAGTTGTTCCTGAAGAAGCCTTTGAATTCAAGTCTTTCCAGGTTTGCTTGGACCTGCTCATCAGACAAGTGAAGATGGCTCTAGAAACTGTGAAGAGGCCCAGTCCTGAGGTCTGTGGGTGACTCTGCAGTCAGAAGGGTGCTGGGAGCCAATTTCACTCTCTATGAGATGTGAAGAGGAAGGAGAGTGGTCCTCCTAATTCTGCTGCAGAGGGCATAACCAGGACTGCTGGCAGGAGTTGCTGGAGGTAGATCCCAGCTTGATAACAGAAAGTTCTTTCCAAGAATCACAGACATCCCCCTGGGTGGGACAACTTGAATTTTAGGGGGTTCCCCATCACAGGGAGGGTTTGAGCAAAGGTTTCCTGGAGGCTTGTCAGGAAAAGTCTCTAGCTTGTAATGGGGCTGAGATCTAAAAAAAAAAAAGGTCTCTTTCAATGCTGGAATTTTGAGATTGTACGATTCTCTCTGTGTGTATATGCATGCACATACATACACCTACATTCAATGATGGCCCTACAGGTATGCATTTGTACAGGTAGGTATGTAACTATACCTGTTTATCTGGAAAGAAAGGGCACAGGCAAGAATAAAAAGACAAGGTTAAAATAGATGCCTGTCTCCACTGCAGGAAGGCACAAATACAACAGAGTGAGTATTAAAGAAGAAAATAAAATAGGTCTTGTGAAGACAAAGGCCTTTGTGGTCCTTTCTTAGCTGAGGAGGTATAATAACAATTAAGGTCAAACCAACAATCACAATAAAAACCCAAAGGGAAGGAAGCAGGTTCTAGGAGTTTACAGAGCTCAGGTGCAAGTGCAGGGAGCTGAGGCTTCCAATCCCTGGGACTGGGCTCAGGGGGCCTGAGGTGAGAGCCCTGCTGGACATGCAGTAGCCTCCAGGTATTACCTGGGACTAAAGGGCCTCCTGCTTCCTCCCACCTGGCTCAGATTCTACTCCAGGGAGGGAGGGCAGATCCAGTGGAACCAACTGGACAATAGCCAGGAGCACATCATTCAGATCCACACAGATACCCGGTCAGTGAGCAGCTCTTACCACCATGATGTGCTCCAGGATGAAGAGGAGGATATGCCTGGGGTCTGCCGAGAACATCCCACTGTACAGCTTCTCCACCAGCTTCTGGGTGAAGCAGGAGATGTTGGCAAGAGAAGGGGCAGCAGCAGCTTCTGCACTTGGCTGAGGCTCTTTGCCGTCTGTGGAGTGAGGGGACAGGTGGAGGTGAGAGTCTAAATGGACTTCTGTCCATGACAATCTCCAAGCCCCCTGTAGTGACCAACTGCATCTTATTCACCTCTGTGTACCCCATGGTTCCAAAGATGGAGTCTTGTACTGACGAGGTGCCCAACACACACACATTTAATCAAAATGAACAGATCTTGAGTAATCTGGTCAGCGACATAAACCAAGTGGTGAGAAAGCAAGCAAGGTGAAGCATTTCTTCCTGTGGCTTTTTGGAGGAGGATGGGGGAGAATGTGCTGCTTGAGACAAATGAGCAGGCATCATGATGACCAGGGGCCCTGCTGCTACACTAGGCAGAGGATAAAGCCATACTGTCATTATCCATCTATGCTCACCAACACAGCAGGTACTGTGCTCAGCCATGTGTGTGATGATCTCAACTAACCCCTAGCACAACCCTGTGAGTTCACCACGACTGTCGTCCTTACTCACAGGTCCAGGCACCTGACTAGGGTCGCATGACTGTCCAGTGGCAGAGCCAAGTCCAGAACTGGGATTGCCAAACCCACACTTCACCACCCTGCTACTCTCCTGCATTCCAGTCTCTCCATGAGAAGGATCATGAAGTCAGGGCTTCTGAGTAGGAGGCAAGGAGAAGTCCAGAGTAGGACTCATGTTCCTAGGGATTCCTGTGGCTTGGGAACCACAGAAAAGGCTTTTGTTTAGGCTTGTTGAAAAGGTACAGCTGCCCTGGAACCAAGTTTTTTGAATGAACCTTCAATTTTAAGCTCTGAAGGGGCATGGCAGCATCTTCATCCAGGTTCATTGTTTAAGAAACATCAGCTGTGCACCTATCCCGTACCCAGGCAGAATGCTGAGCACGGAAGGTTAAATTGTGGTATCTTGGTTTCCCTTATGGGAAGAGGTTGCATTTCTACTGAGGCTACAGGAGAGCCGATTTTTGCTTAGAGGCAAAAGGGCTTTCTGTCTGTAAGTGGCACAGCATGACAAGGGTGTCATGGAAAGTAGCAAGCACCCCTCCACTGGGCCCCAAGGCAGGAGCCAGGGAGTTCTTGTTGATGATGCCTGGAGGGACTGACGCCAGGTGGAGGCAGCATCCCACAGCTAGGGTCAGTTCCTGGCCAGCATGCTGGTTTCCTCTCCACTGTCAGCAGCCTCATGTCATGAATGGAGGGGACCGAGTTGCCCCACTCACCTCTGAACATCGCTGCATCACCTCCACTTGTCATGTGGAATAGTTCCATAGCAGAAAGCAGGACCTCGGACTGGAAGTCTCGCTTCTGTTGGCTGGTGGCGTGGTCTGGAGAAGCCTGGAAGCACAGCCCGGGACTGAGACAGCAACCACAGGGCCATCGTGTGCACCCAGTGCCCACCGCCTCCCTAGCCTGGCTGGGACACTTATGCCGCATCTGCCAGCAGTGTGGGCTGCTCACAATTTTCCCTTCTCTGGGGGCCCACCCTCTGTGACTGAGCTGCCTCATCCAGGAAGCAACGCCCACTTCCGAGGGTAAGGAGGCAAGTCAGGGGAGCCCACAGCCCACGGCCACCTGTCAGGTGCCACAGGTGGGGCCGGCCCTGGGAGGCAGAGAGCACCCCAGAACCCCCCTTGGGCCAGGCTCCAGCTGGGACCACCTCTGGGCTAGCTTCACCTCCTGCCCCTCTGCTTCCCTCCCTGCTTCTCCTGAGAACACCGCCTCCAACCCACTGGCCAATAACTCACTTCCACAAAACTCCCACCTCAGGCTCTGCTTCTAGGGACTCTGTGCTCACTCCTCTATCACCTGTTGCTTTTTTGGGGCCCATGGTTCACAGATTCCCCTTCACTCGCTGTGGCCCCCAGGCCCTCTGTCTCCCTGGGTGCATCCTGCCCTTGCAGTGCCGGTATGCCGGCAGCCTCCACAGCACATGGCCCAATGTCACCTTTTCCAACCCACCTCCAGGAGCACCTCCAGGGGCAGCCACTGCTTGGGGCTGGAGGCTCCAAGCAGGAGCTCCCTCAAGAGGAGCTGCGTGAACTCCCTCAGCTTCCTCCGGGCGGGATGTGCCTTGGTGGGAGCCTGGAGACCCTCCACTGTGCTGTCGCCTTCAGCTGCGGCCTCAGGACTGCTGGTGTTCCGGGTGGACTCAGCCCCAACCCCCTCAAAGACAAGAGAACCCCAACATGAGTGGCCTGCCCTGCCTCAAGCTCTTTCCCACCAACCTGTGCCATGTACATGGGCGGATTATTGTCATGCCCAGTGACATGTACGGAAATTGAGGCTCCGCACAGGAAAGCAACTTGCCCAGGATCCAGCTGCTCATAAAGTGGCCTGCTACTGTTTGAGAATATGAGATGCCAAGTGTTGTGCAAAGAAGCTAAACCACAGAGTCAGAGAGGCCTGCAGTGTTCATGATGAACTCCAGAATGTGCCAGGAGCAAGCTGCTTCACATCTCCAAGCCACAGCTCCCCATCGGTTAAATAGAGACAATAAAAACCATCTGACACCGGATCTGGGAGAATGACATGAGAGAATAACGAACGTGGCAATGCCCAGCCCCTGGTAGACAGTCAGAGAGAGTCGGTGCCCATCTTGTGATGGGGACCCCACCTCTACCTCCTGCCCAGTCTCTGCTGATGCCCACAGACAGGCTCCTCAGGCAAGAACGGTGGAGAAGTGGGACTCCAAAGAGTTCTTTCCTCTAATTTCTGAAGCACTTTGGCATCCACTATTTTGTTTTATATTTATAAAATGTTGGGAGATCAACGAGACAGGGGTCATTACCCCAGATACGTCCAGGAGGACACAGAGATGCTGGAGGCTGAATGACTCACCCAAGGACACGCGGCCAGGGACTCCTGACTCCCAGCCCGTGAACTTCTCCTGCGCATTCATCTGTTAGCACCTCCCTTTGCTCATTCATAAAATTAATGCGGCCGTTCTTAATTAAGCCATAAAATGAATTTAATGGCACCTAGGGAGGTAGTGACTGCATTAATTAGCTCCGTGCGGCCTTGATTGGAAAGATGCCATATAAATTCACAGCAAATCCAAGCCTTTGGCCACCAGCCTTCTGCATGAAGAGGGTCTGGCATGTTTTCTATACAACAAAGGCCTTGGCAGAGCTGACTTGGAGCGCTGAAAAAGGCAAGGATGGCTGGGAGGTACACCTTGGAATTAGAGCCAGGAGCCCCAAGACAAAAGCCCGACCTCGCCCGCGATCAGCTGGGGATGTGACTCTGGGCCAGACCCTCCCCTGGGCAGGAACTGCTGACCATGGGGAGCAGGAGCCCTGGGTCAGAGTGTGCACCTGGGCTGCTGGCGGGGGCACTCGGCTGGAGCCCCGACTCAGCAGATGGCGAGCCTGGCCCTTGGGCATGGGGGCTGAGCTGGGCATCTGGGTAGAGAATGTTAGGCCGCTGGACCCCTGCAGAAAACCTGCCCAGGGAAGTGTCGAGGGGGAGCCTGTAGGCTCGCCCTTGATCTCTCCCTGGCCAGGCTGCCTGCGCCTCTGGCTGTGGGTCCTATCCCACCTCTCTCCTGCAAACAACGCTGCATTCCTTCACTCTTGTTTGCTTTTTTATCTTACTTTTTTAGTAAGTTACTTGATATGAATTCATCAAACTATTTCAAAACTATGTTATCTTTTTGTGAAACTTCTGGTCTTTATATTTAGTCTTTTTATTAAAACTACTTTTAAAGTTTATTTGGCCATTTAATTTTATTTTAAACTGACTGTAATGAAAAGGACAAGGCTTTGGGGTAAGAGTGAGATTTAAACTTTGGCTCCGTCTCTTGTTAATCGCATGAAGTTCAGTACATTTCATTCTTGCAATCAATCTGGGAGATGGGTTTTGTGACCCTCAGTGAGCCTGGAGGAAACTGGTGAGTGCCACTTTGCCTCTCTGAATCTCAGCTTCCCCTCTCAGACACCACCTTCATCAGGTGGCAATTCAGGTTTTCTAAAGCACCAGTTTCAGGAGATGGAGGCTGCCGCCATGGGTATGCTTCTGGAAAAGATTAGCTAAGAGAGCATGTTGCTCATTCATTTGGGCACTTAGCAAATGTTTATGGAGCAACCACTCCAGGCCTGGCATCACACTTGGCATGGATTATAAACCCCCCTATGTAGCATTGCTCACCTTTCAAATATGCTCCTTTAGCTACAGTTGGCAACTTGCAGGAAGACACGGTTAGCTCACTTGCCCTCACTGGGTCTCCACTTCCTAATCCACCAGAGTGGGGGTGGTTGTGTGAATTTCTGCCCTTCCTTCTTCCATACCTGACCTTCTTCTTTAGTCCTCACCTCCTTCTCGCTTCCCAGCTCCCAGGAGGTCTTAGCCTACCTGAGTCCCACACGGCCCTGACCCAGCCAAGCTTTGACCTGCTGGGCCTAGCTGGAGGCCTCAAACTCACATGTCTTCCCATAGCCCCTTCTCTAACCCCCAGAGCATAAGACCCAAGACCTCATCCTTAAATCAGGCTCTGCCCTCCCCTTGGCTTGTCTGGCTCTAAGCTGGGCCTCTGCAAACCCACTGCCTAGAAGGGCACACAAGTCATGGCCCAGGGGCCTGCAAGTTGGATGAGGGTTCCCAAGAGCAAAAGTTTTTGCAGGATGCACTCCCAGGACTGCCCTCCCCCATGTGGTGCACAGCAGCAGACTTCCTGGAATGGGAGTCACTGTCTCCCCTTGTCAGTGCCTGTGTATGCCACAGACAATGGACTTTATCTGCCATTAGACTTCTCATTACTGAGATTCTTAACAGCTCAAAAAAATTATTGAATCTCAGAGCTGAAAATGACCTCAAGGTGTATCTCAGCCAAAAAAGGATGGTTATCCAAGCTGCTTATTCAATGTTCCGCTCAAGTTGCCTTAAAATGTATTTTAATTTTAGGGGGGAGGGGAGGGATTTTGCCCTTTGCCCTTGAAGGATGATGATGCTCACAACTGCTCTCTCTGGGTGGGACAGCAGCATGTCCTACCTTTTGGGCTCCCAGGGGGAAGGCGGCTATGGCCAAGGTCTGGAGGAACTCCGGGGCTCGCCACGCTGGGTCCTGGGGGTAGGTGCGGTGGACGAGGCTGAGGAACTGCAGCACGCTGGCCGGGAAGGTCTGTGCCCAGGCACCATCCTCAGAACCTGCCAGGGGCTGAGGCACACTTGGTGAGAGGTAGTGCAGGGCAGCATGATGGGCGCTGCCTCCCTAACCAGAGGAGCTGAGGTCTAGGGAGAAGATTCCTTCCTGAGACTTTCAACAAGATACATTATTTAAGACTGCAGATTAGCACCAGACACTAGTGTCCAATTGAGGAAGGGTTTAATATGTGCAGACGTTGTAAGGGCTTCATACATATGCCTCTTCTCACCCCACAACAACCCTCTGAAGTAGGTTCTATGTTTACCCCTAGCCTTTTTCTCTTATCTTTTAAGTTTCTGCCTTTTATTTTTGATACTTGTCTACTGTATTGGGTAGATGATGCTTTCCTGACACAGATCTTGATTGTACCAAACTCACTGAGTAACTTTGTTATTGTTGTATATACATACATGTTAGATCTTAGAAGTCTGAGTCTTGTTTTTCACCAAGTCTAAAATTCACATCTTTAATATAGAAATTTAACCTTTTTATGTTTGCTGTTATGACATACATGTTTGGTCTTATATTTTTACTTCTCTCAGCATATTACATATTTTCTTTGTTTTAAATGCTTGCATGTGATTCCTTTTGTTTGCTTTATTTTGAATAACATTAATTGATTAAACAGGTAACAGATTCCTTATGCTCCATACAGAAAATATACATCTTTTCAGGTACCCCTAAATTAATTGCTCATTAGGCCTACAATAAAACCATGAATAAATTTCTTGAAGATGAAAAATATACAGATCACATGATCTGAGCAGGGCCAAAACATAACTAGAAATAGAGAACAAAAGTTTAAAAACCAAAAATCTTCACCACATGGACATTAGAAAATGTGAATCAAAGAGAGCTTTAACACTACAGTCACAGAAATTCCAGAACATAACAAAAAATGAAGACGCCAAAATCAAAATCTTAGAAATTGACAGAAATAAAATCAGGAGACTGATAAATGTACCCAAGAGCTGGTTATTTATATAAATCCACAAGCCTTCAACTCCTAAGTCACAAGAGAGTCCAAGAAGGAGAAAGCAGGACACAAACTGAGAATACGAAGGGAGAAACAATCACACAGAAAATGACATGAGTTAAAGGAGACCATTTGTGCAAATTAAATGAATGGGAAATTATTTTAAAATATTAATTAACTAAACTAGGTCAAGAAGACATTTAAAAGCCTAAACAAGCCAATAATAATGGGACAAATTTAGGTCCAGGCAATTTCATAGGAACAATTAAAATAATATAAAAATCATGGATTTAACGTCTTGCTGAATACAAAGAAAGGAGAGAAGTCTTTTTTATATAATATTAGCATAATACTGATGTCAAAACCTGAAAAATATTTTTCAACAAAAACTAAATTGCAGACTAATATCATTTATAGGATGCATGAAATCATAAAGAAAATACAAACAGAATAAGGACAGAGTGACTAAATGAGGTCTTTGAAAGAATGCAAAGAAATCTATTGATGTAATTCATCATAGGAAACTGGCTAAAAGAAAAAAAAAAAGCATAGGATTATCTAACTGTGTGCTAAAAGGGTATCTAATAATAACGATAAAAACACTTCTGAGCCTGGCCAACATGATGAATCCCCGTCTCTACAAAAATACAAAAATTAGCTGGGCATTGGTGGTGCACACCTGTGGTGTCAGCTACTCGGGTGGCTGAGGTGGGAGAATCATCCGAGCCTGAGAAGCAGAGGCTAGAGTGAGCTGAAATCACACCACTGCACTCCAGCCTGGGCAACAGAGCAAGACCCTGTCTCAAAAAAGAAAAAAAAAATCTGTTTCAAAAAGGGCAAAAAGTGGGATCTCTACTTTCTCAGCATAATCCCACACACCCAGAAAAACTGGCAAAAGATATAATCAGGCAATTGACAGGAAAATAGAGAGAGAGGAAAATAAATAAAGATAGCTAATAAACATATGAAAAATGATTTCAACCTCAGAAATAATAAATGCAAAAGAACTCAACTATGAAGCCATCATCAGTTTGGCCATGATGTTGAGGCTGTGAGGATGGGGCTGAGTCCTTCTGAACAAGATAAGGAGTTAGATATTTGCTGGTGGGATGTGTATGCATAATGACTAATGCAATCTTTCTGAGAAGTACATCCAAAAGAAAACGCCTGAAGGCACACTTTGACCTGCTATACTACATCCCAGAATACACTAAAGAGGTCATCAAGACAGAAAGAAAGATATTTGTTTAAGAAAGTTCATTACAAACAACACTCTGTAAAACAACATCAATTTCCATTACAAATACAAATGATTACCATGTTTTTTCACTTTATTTGCATGAGAAGAGGTCCACAAATATTGAGGAAAAAAAGGCAAAAGGGGTACATGTGGTCTCATCCTCTGTGAGGATATGGTCGAATCTTGGAGAAGTATCTGGAAAGATTCCACCAAATTCACAGTGCTCATTTTTGGGTGGGTGTGTGTCAGGTGGGTGTTGTTTACTTTCTGTTTTTCCCTTTTGTTTAAATGTTAAAGGTAATCATGTATCATTTTACAAAAGCAGTAAGTTTCCCCATACAATCAGGCCTCCAATTGCCTTTGGTGCCTACAGGATGAAGTCAGAATTTTTCAGCCTTTTCTGGAAACCCTCCCTGACCTGGCTTACCATTAATTATTCCTGTTCACAAGTCACATGGCCTCTACCCAATGTCTAAAATAACTCTTCTGCTCACCACCCACCTCTACTGGACCTTGAAGGCTCAAATTAAAGGCTTCTCACTCCCGAAGACTCCATGCCCTGCCTGTAGCTGGCGGCCATCTGCCTTCTCTAAGTCAGGTCCCTTCCCCAGGTCACTCATGAGCGAGGAGATGGACTCGTTGAGAGGAGAGGCCCTTCCTCCTCCTAAGAAATGTTCCCTTTGACTGAAGGCAATAAATCTTCCAGTGAAGAAATCCCATGCTTAAACAAATGATAAACAGGTATCACCTGCAAGAGCACATAAAGCTCAGAGACCTATAGGCTGGGTTTCCAGTTGTGCCCCTGAGTCACTCTAGGAACTTACCTCACCTCTTCTACAGGATCTGGCTAATTACTTGCATTAGTGGGAAGATGCTAAGAGAAAAGTCAAGGTGACCCTTCCAAACTGGCCTTCCCATCAGAACCTCCTCGGGGCAGCATGTGGGGAATGGGTCTCACCTGGCTCATGGTGGCCTTCAGCATTTCCAGGAGGAGCAAGGCACCTTCTGTGCACAGCCCAGCCTGGAGGACTTCTTCCTGGTGGTGCCTCTGCAGGAGCCACTGAAGCATGGCATCAAGGCTGTCCTGGAAGAGGAGGCAGGAGCTGTAAGCAGACCTGCGGCTACTCACCAAGAGAACGAGCTTTGCAGCCAGTTCATCATGTTTCCAGGGGTTCCCAGTGGGAAAAGCAAAAGAGCACACTGGCAGCCTAGGTGGTTGATCCATAGGAACAATTTCACCCCAGTAGATGGTGCATAAGGGAAACAAGCACCTCCAAGAAGGTGCTGAAGATCCCCTAGAGACTGGCATGTAGTTCAGTTATTTTGGTCTGACATCATAAGTAAATATGCTAATCAACTTTAATTAACTTTTGTAAATTAGATTATATAAGACATATAAAGAATTCAAAGGTTTCAGGGGAAACTTCAGCATGTAGAGGTATAGAGAGATTCTAAACTTAGGGTTTAGAATCAGGATGGCCTGATTCTGCCTTTTTAATAGCTGAGCTCAGGCAAGCTATTGAGCTTCTTGGCAGTTCATTTCCCGTCTCTGTGAAATGAGAATTACATTATCTACCCCATGGGATTGTTTAAATATCAAGCAAAATAAAATATGTAAAACATCTATCACAAGTTCCAACACTTAGCAGACATCTGTTTCCTGAGATATGTTAGAGAAATAAAAACTCAGGGTATCAATGACCTTAGTACAGCATATTAAAAACTTTATTTTGAAGTGTAATATACAATGCTATTAGCATATGTCAATATTTAGATTTGTCAATTATAAAGATATACAAGAGGGGTAGATTTTTTAACCTTCTCTTGGCAAAGCCACGCCCCTCCCATATTTCAATTCAGTTAGGTTTAACTCAACTCGATTGAGACCAAGAAATAGTTTCTAAGTTGGCTATTTGTCAGGTTCCAGGAAGTTGAGTGAAAGGTGGGTCCGTTCTTCAGGGGCTCAGTTTCTAAGGAGGCAGGCACACATTTGTATTGGTGCCATCCATATAGGGTAAACTACACTGAGGCACAAAGGAGGAAATGGTCTCCTCTGTCTGGGGGTCTAAGTAGGAAGTAGCATCTAAGCTGAGTGCTGAGGGAGGACACTCCCACCAGGCAGACGATGGTGGGAAAGAGGAGTGAGTAAGGGCAGCAGGGTGGGTGAGCACAGAGCAGCCAGTCTTACTGAAGATGATTTAGGAGACTCACAGCTGAGGGCGGGTGAATTGCAGCTGGGTTGGAAAGATACATCAGGCAGCCAGAGATGAGGGGGCTTGGTGCCAGCTATGGAGTCTGACCTTGATGCTGCAGGTGTGAAAGTCACCTGAATTTAGTGCAAGGGAGAAGGTGCATACGGTGAGCACAGACTCCTCTTTGGAGAAATGTGGCCAAGGAAGGATAGGAAAGTGATCAATAGGCAGCATTTGGTCAGGAGTGTTATCAAGGGGCAGCCTCTGGTTTTAGGTGGGATGCAGCTGAACATAATTATGGCTTATGAGGAACGGGTTGGTAGAAAAGGAAAAACTGAAAATACAAAAGGAAGAAAGGGGGCCGGGTGCGGTGGGTCACGCCTGTAATCCCAGCACTTTGGGAGGCCAAGGAGGGTGGATCACCTGAGGTCAGGAGTTTGAGACCAGCCTGGCCAACTTGGAAAATCCCTGTCTGTACTAAAAACACAAAAATTCACCAGGCATGGTGGTGGATACCTGTAATCCCAGCTACTTGGGAGGCTGAGGTGGGAGAATCGCTTGAACCCAGAAAGCAGCGGTTGCAGTGAGCCGAGATCACGCCACTGCACTCTCCCAGGGTAACACAGTAAGACTCTGTCTCAAAAAAAAACAAAAAAAACAAAAAAAAAAGAAAAGAAAGAAAGAAAGGATAACTATGGGATGAGGTCACCCAAGGAAGGAGCTGAAGGAATCCATGACCAGCCTTGAAAAGTCTCCCTGTCCTAGCAACAGGGGCAAGAAGATGATGACCTAAGTGGGTGGTTGAGGATGAGGGGCTGGGGTGCTGGGGCAGGGCCACCCCAGCATCATGTCATTCCCCTAGCTGTGCCCAAAAGGAAGGTTTTAAAATAGAACTGATCCAAATCAGAGACTTGCTGGGAGGAAGGATGGGAGCAGAGGCCGAGGAAGTCAAGGGCCTGGAAGGGGAGCATTTGAAGGGCTGGCCAAGGGTGTGGGCTGCTAGGGAGGGAAGTGGGCCAGCACCCCATCTGAGCTGGAAGAAGCAGAGGGAGGTAAGTGCAGAGGGTCTTGGCGACCTGCCTTAGTCATGTGGAATCAGAAAACCAAGTGTGTCACCCTGTGGGTGCTCTGAAAACCTACTTTGGGCCCGTCCATCAGCTCTGTGAGTGGTGTCTGCAGGAAGAAGGTGGAGACGATGAGGTAGACCTCTGGAATGTGGACGTGGTGGGCCAGAAAGTCATTCAAGACACGGAACCCAGGAAGCAGGCATGGGCTTTGCTCAGGCAGTGGTGACTGGCTCTTCAGGTTGTCTATTGATCAGGCAAAGGGGGCACAAAAGTCAGCTGAGAACAGCTGCTGGTCAAGGTGGGGCCTGGACACACAAAGGAACACCCGGCCACCCACCCATCCCATAGAAATGCTGGATGATAAAATATATTCACACATAGATGGGAGCAAAAAGGCACTCAACAGTAGTTCCCTTTGCTGTTCCTGACATGCTCATTCATTCACTCAAAAACATACTTGCTGCCCACCATGTAGGAGGCAACAGGGCAGCTTTGAATTAGGCAACAAGGGTGTAGGGTTTCAACCAAATATACAGAATTCCAGGCACTCATGAAGCTTGCATTGTAGTGGGAGGGACAGACATTAAGCAATTAAATACTCAAATAATTATGAATTTTGTGAAGCACTAAAGAGAAAAATAATAAGGGCAGAGATAATATAACAGAGGTGTCCCAATTCAGGGAGACCCCTCATCTCCTGGAGGAAGTGGCATTTGAACTGAGATCTCAGGATGAATCCACATCAGGAGAAGAGGCATCCCCTCAGGAAGAGGAAGCAGAGTATACAGTGCCCAGGAGAACAGGGCTAAGCAGGTGGGAGGAATGGAAGGCAGCCTCCAGTGTCTGTGCAGTGAGGCTGCGGGGGATCCTGCAAAGGATGTCAGGGGGGCTGGGCTCATTTGGATGTAGGCCTTGGAGTCAGGGCTCGAGGTGATCCTGCTGCACAGAGCTGTGATGGTCTCAAATAAGAAGGGGCCTGGCTTGGTCCTCATTCACATCCCAGGACTAGGTGGTGCCCCACTCCCTGGAGACAGCCACGTGCTCACCCATTACAATATCCACGCCCTCAGTGCTGCGTTCCACCCAGGATCCTGCACACAGGCCATCTCTAAACCGTGTGCGGAGGGAGGGGCTTGCCAGAAAGTACAGCAGCAGCTTCAATGCCAGCACAGTGGTGCTGGCATGCAGGTGGCCCTGCAGGAGCAGCAGGAACCAGTCAGGCCCCAGTTTCAGAAACATCTCTTCCTTTGACCTGGGGATTAATAAATGCAACCAATGTTCTCTCAGTCCATGAGCGAGTGACATGTCCAGAAAATATGAAATGTCCAGCCTTACAAGTCACCAAGGAGAGGCAAGTTAAGGTTAACATCACTTATTATGTATTACATTTAAAAAGAATAGTAAAATAAAATGCTGGCAAGATTGTTGTGCAAATGATGCATTTGTCTATTAATGGTTGCAGTGTAAGTTGGCCACAGCATTTTGAAGCAATTGGAAACTGTGTATTCATATAGGTAAAAATGCGCATGCCCCTTAATAGCCCTATATAACTACTATTCATACTTACACAGTGGATGACTAGCCACCCATCTAATTTAATTACCATCAATGTAGTCACATAAAACACATAATGAATATTCCCCTCCCTTTTTAAAGACACTAGTCAAAATTTATCTAAATGGCATAGTTCAATATTTATGCATTTTTATCAGTTTTAGCACCAAAAAAAAAGAAACATGATTAACGTCACTTTCAAAAATGATGAGTCTGGAGAATACAGACTTGCTGATGGGACCTGGATGAAACAGGAGGGCAGGGAGATGAATGGCCAATGGGTTGGCCAAAGACACTGGGTTCAGCAAAGGACCCAGACTTTTGGGAACAAGTGAAGGCTCCACCTGTGTTCTCAGCTGACACACTAGGCATAGTGAGAATCTGGCTGGTATCCACTGAAATGAGCACTGGACTAGGAGTGAAGAGAAGAGGCTGTCCTCTTTTCTAGCCCTGCCTCTGATGTTTAGCAACTGGATGACTTTGGCAGAGCTCCTGATGTGCTCTGATCATTTTCCTCAGTGATTATGTTGATAATGATGGTGATGATGTTGATGGTGGTGGTGGTGATAGTGATTAACGTTGTGGTGATGTTGGTGGTGATGATGATGATGGTGGTGGTGGTGACAGTGATGATGTTGATGGTGGTGGTGATGTTGATGATGTTGATGATGGTGGTGGTGATTATGGTGATGGTGATGCTGGTGGTGATGGTGATGATGTTGATGGTGGTAGTGGTTATGATGGTGGTGATGGTGATGCTGGTGGTGAAGATGCTGATGGTGGTGGTGGTGATGGTGATTAATGTTGTGGTGATGATGGTGATGATGCTGTTGGTGGTGATGGTGATTAATGTGGTGATGATGGTGATTAATGTGGTGATGATGGTGATGGTGGTGAGGGTGATGGTGATGATGGTGATGGTGATGATGGTGGTGATGGCGATTAATGTTGTGGTGATGATGGTGATGATGGTGGTGGTGGTGATGGTGATTAATGTGGTGGTGGTGGTGATGATGGTGGTGGTGATGGTGATGGTGATGATGGTGATGGTGATGATGGTGGTGGTAATGGTGATGGTGGTGGTGATGGTGATGATGAAAGAGATGGCCATAATAGCAATTAGCTTACAGAGAATTTACAGTATTCCAGGCACCATTCTCAGGATTATCCATATATTAATTCATTTCATCTTTACTATACTCACCTATTGAAAGTATTAGGTTGGTGCAAAAATATTGGCAGTTTTTGGCATTAAAAGTAATGAAAAAAACACAATTACATTTTCACCAACATAATACAATTTTTATTCTCATGCAGATGAGTAGAGAGAGGCATACAGGGCTTAAGTAGCCTCCTCTGGGTCCCTGGGGACAGGGCTAGGATTCGAACCCGGAAGGTATAGATGCCAGAGCCCAGCTGTTAGGCACTGCACTACATTCCCTTTCAAAAAGATGGAAAAGAAAGTGGCTGGACTATCTCATTTCCAAGGCATCTTCCAGTTCTACCATGTTTTGATTCTAAGAAAGAAAGGATTTATAGGCTGGTAAATTATTAAACACTATTTATAAAGCTGCTTTACTGAGGGGTAACTCTTTACCCCCAAGCCCAGATGCATATACAGGTTGAGCAAGGATCCGGGCTGACTTGCTCAGCACTGCATCCTAGGAGCTGGGAACAGTGTCTGGCATGCAGTAGATGCTCAACAAATTAGGTGTCAAATGAACGACTCCAAGGTTGGAGGTAAAGCAGGCAGGCAGTGGGGAGAGTTAATGGAATCAGCTTTATGATTACACTTGATTTTAGAAGTTAATTGACGGTAGATACTTCTTTTTCCAACTTGGAAAAATAACAAACTCACTAACAGTAAATAGCAGAAGAATTTGGCAAGACTTTTCCTTGATAGATGTTATTTAGGCTCACGATTTCTTCATTCTATTGTCTGCCAAGTACAAGACATCAAAATCAGTAATTGTCACAACTGCCAAAACAATAACAATTACACTATAGCTATGGTGACAAAAGGAGTTTATTGTAATTATACCAAATCTGTTTCTAGTTACTCATGTCCACTTAACATTTGCATCAGAATATCTTAGGGCAAGGTCTGGTTCATTGGGTAGAGAGAATATAATTTTCTTTCTGACTAGTGCAGGAAATACATTGCAGAAAACAGACTCAGAGATGCTAAACTTTTCATTAAGAAAAGGTTTAATGCCACACCCTGTATGAGGTAACCTCCTGCCAAATTGCTCTTCCTGGAGCTACTTACTCAGAGGACAGATGAAGCTGGGGGGAAGATATTACACTGAGCAGCATCTCCAGCAACTGGTTTCTGAGCCAGATTGTCTTTCCAGATGTTTGGCTTCCAGCTACAAAAAAGAATTCAGATTTGAGAGAAAATGGATGTAAAGAGACATAATATTTGCTGCAGTAAGCAATCATATTCACCAAATGCTTATTTCACCCAGGAATTGTGGCATGGCTGGGACTCAAAATTTTGGCATTTTATTCCAGCCTCCACACAATGCTTAAAAAGAATTTCAGAAAATGTTACTGAAGTTTCCTTTAATTAGCAATGTCTGCAATGCTGCACATCTTCCAAAAAACAAAAATCCTAAAAATAATAAAGGAAAATATACCTTTCAGTAGAAGAATTTTTTAAATTATTATAGGCTGCAACATTTCATAATCACCTACTATGCACTGATATTATGCAAGTAATCAGGAACAGAGTGCTGAAGACCATGGTCTTTGTTCTCTTTGTTCCTGCTTTCAACTTGCTCCCAGGCTAGGCTTTTGGATGTCTATGCTACAATAAAAACAGAACTCAAATCATAGCAGAGGTATATGGAGCAAGGGGAAGAAGAAACTTTACTTCTGAAGAGTCATTAAAGCCCAAAAGGACATATTAACAATGCTTTAATATGTTGGTTAGGTAAAAGTTTCAGAATGCAGTTCATATGAGAAGGAAGGTTGACTAAATAAGTTCACTCTTGGCCCATTACCCATTTGTTCATTCCCTCAGTTGCCAGCAATTTCACACCAATACAGGGCATACACCACGCCATACTGTAGAAATAGGACTGATGAGGCAACCTGGGGAAATGGAGTCATATTTCCGTCTATTCAGATTTTGGTCCCATCTTCAATTAGCTCCTAATCTCATTGAACCTAAATTTCTTAGTCTGCAAAATGGGAATAGTAATTTCTTGCGGCTTGATCTAAGGATAAGAGATAATACTTTATCTAGATTAAAAAATGCTATCCAGGAGACTCTTTTGTGATGATAAAACTGTTTTATATCTACCTTGTCCAATAGAGTAGCCGCTAGCCTCAGGTAGCTAGTGAGCACTTAAAACGTGGCTACAGTGAGTGAGGAATTAAGTTTTTAATTGCATTTAATTTTAATTAGTTAAAATTTGAATTTAAATGGCTATATGTGGCTTAGGGGCTCTCGTCTTGGACAGTGCAGAGCCGCAGGGCCCAGGACAAAGCAGTTGTGATTGCTGCCATCACACTGCCCTAGCAGAGGGAACAAATTGAACAAGACACAGCTGCAGTTCTGCACCTGGCTAGGCGAAAAGGGAGACTCACATAAACAAACTACAAATCTATTCAGTAGGGTAACCCCAAGGGGCTTTGGAAACACAGAGAAAGTGACTTAATCTGGTTTGGTGGGACTGGGGACAGCTTGGCTAGTGGGGGAGGGGTGGCATTTCCCTTGAGTGAAGAGCACGTGCCAAGCACGGACAGAGGGCAGGCCATCACCTGCAGGGGCCTGCAAGTGCTTCACTGCTGGAGTTGGGGCTCATCAGGAAAGTAAGGGGTAGTGGGGGTTCAACCAGGAAGTGAGGCAGGATCCCGGATCCCACATGCTGGTCTACAGGGAACTGATTTTATTCTGGAGGCCTGGAACACCAGTCCCACATTTCAAAGCAGGAATCTATAATTTTATTTCATTTCTGACTCTCATCATAAAATGACAGCCTCACAGGCCACGGCTTGGAAACCACGGCTTGGCTGTGGGTGCCTTCCCCTTCCTTACTTAGCCCCTCCCTCTGCACAATGTGGGCCTCTCAGGGGTTCCGTGAGGGCCGTCCTACTGCCTTCGAACTGGCAAAGGTCTTCTCACCAGGCAGGGAAGGGTCCAGGGCTCCGTCCATGCAGATCTGCCTCTCATTCACCGACGAAGGCTTGAGGGTGTACACAACAAACAGCCCAATCCTTTATACACAGGGAGAGAAGGACAGGCTCGCAGGCGGGCTCAACTGAGTCCGCTGAGTACATGCCAGTGTTTTCACATAGACCCACCCACGTGCAGCTGCAAGTGAGAGTTTAAGGGAAATCATCATGGCATGCTGTGTATTTCCAGAGACTTCTAAAATCAGTCAGGATTCACCAGAGACGCTAACTCTGGCTCTACCTGATCAATTAGATAGTGACAGGAAAGAGAAGGGGAAACACACTGGTGGCTGGGACTGCTCTTCAGGAGTCTGCAGGAGCCAGGCATGTGGGTCATTGGCTGGCAAGGATGGCAGTGCTTATGGAAATTCCTGAATATTTGGCCACAGTGGGGGAGCCTGAGCAGTGGGAACAGTAAACACACAGCCCTGCTGGGGAAACCGGCCTGTCCCATCCTGACTTCAGCAAACCATCCTTTCCCCAACTCTCAGCCCTGGGCAAAAATTCCTAGAAGGTTCCAAGTGATTCAGGGTTGAGCACAATGGGGAGAGAGCTGGGGTCTGTCCTCCCTTTTTAAACAGCCCTGGGGCCCTGCTCTTCCCCCTGGGCAGCTTGGTGTGGTACCTGAGCAAGTCCTGGGTGCTGAAGTGGCCCCTCAGCTGACAGGCCAGGATGCCAATGATGGTGGAGATCTTGGAGGGGATGAGGCTCGGCTCATTGAATAGGAAGATGAGCTTGGGTATAAGCTGTGCCTGGTGGGCAGCTTCAGCATTCCTGGGTCCTTCCCTGGTGAGTACAGGAGAGAGACAGTAAAAGCTTTTACTGGAATGAACCAAATTTGCTGTGTTTCTGCTAAAAAGGTTTTTCAAGCCAGGCTTGTTCCATGGCCCCTTAACTCCAATGCTCTCTTGGCAATTTGTCAAGATGCCGTCAGACACCCATTGAATATGTGTCTGCTAAGTGCCAGAGTCGCTCGGGTGTGCACTGCCTGTCCCCTCCGCCCCCCGGAAACCACCTTCAAAGACAAACCCCAATTATTGACTTTTAAATTCTGAGCCCCAGGGAAAACTAGTGCTGGCCTCAGAAACTCAAACAAAGACAGCAGACACTCATGTGACTGGGGAGTACTTCCCACCAGCCAGGAGTGCAGGGCCCTTCACTAGCTTGTCTGGTTGTGTGATCTTCCTGCCCGCCCCAAACCACAAAGTGGAGAGACACGCCACTGAAAGTCAAAGGAGAAAAAGACAGAATCCACCTATCCATACCCCCTCCCTCAGATACTCACAAATCCAATTTCCAGTAAATTCTACTCCCCCAAAGAAAACAGCTCCCAGGATAAATATCTGTTTCTTAGAAAACAACTGGTACAGGTACAGGAACAAAGTGGAAAGTGGAAGAGAAAAAATGGTGGAGAAAAATGTGGAGGAGGGTGACTTTGGGCAGATTCCTCACTTTGAACTGTCTTTTTTTTTTTTTTTTTTTTGTATTAACACATTAAATTCTGCTGAGCTCCATCTCCCTGATACACAAAAGAGGCAGGACCAGAGCCCAATTCTGTGTATGATTTATAATTACAGGCTCAGCAGAGAAGACAGATGCTCCTCTACCCAGAAGTCCCGGCTGCCCTTGGTTCTGTTTCCTCTGACAGCACTGAACAACATGTTTTTCTGTATTCTCTTTTTATCAGACTGTGGCTTATTCTTCTCTGAATTTTACCTCTAAGTACAGGGTGCGAAATGTAGTAAGTTTATAATAGATGTTCATTAAGTGGATGAGTGGAAAGCCATTTACAAATACATTCAAAATGCTGAAGGCACCAATGAGCTCTAGACCAGCCTGAGCCAGGAGGAGGCAGGTGGGGTGATATGTGGGCTTCCTTGCCTTCCTTCTCTCTTATTCTGAACACAGCCCCTGGCTCCCTTTGGGAACTACCACTTTCTAACTCCAGAGGGGAAGCCACTTTCCAGCCCAGTCATGGGACACAGTTGGCTCAATGAGACTCAGTCCAATAGCTAAGACTGTTAAATTTTTAAAAAGCTGTCTCTCTGCCTATGGTGCTAAGCTGAGGATGTGCTCTGAGGAGCTGCCCAGGAGCCACCTTCTGCCACAGAAGAAAGCCCGGGCAACCTGAAGACTGAGTGGAAGAGGCAGAGGCAAGAGTGGTGACAGAGCTCAGAGAAAATGATGTGAGCCTCCCCCAGCTACAGGATGAGATCAGCTCTTTTCAATTGTAAGAGCCAACGAAGTCCCTCTTTACTGGTCTTTTCTTCCTGTATTCTTTTTTCCCTCCTCCCTTCCTTCTTTCCTTCTCTTTTACATCCCTTAAGCTGGTTTGAGTTGTATTTCTACCACTTGAAGGGTAAAAGAGCCCTGACTAATTCCAAAAGTGCCTTGGAGAAGTCAGTTAGAGGGAGAGTGGACCTTTGCTGGTCACAATTGCTGAGCCCCCAGTATGTGCTAGTCCCTGGGGCTAGAGAGGCCTCTAAGCCCCCAGCATCTGCCCTCCTGAGGCCCGAGACCATGAGAGGAGACTGCCCCACAAGCATGAGCCACTGGGAAGGATGTGCTCCCATTTGGGGACCCAGTGTTCTGGGAGCAGGGAAGAGCCACTGGCCACCCTGCCCTGTCTCTGTTCTGGACATTCAGCCTTCAGTTCTAACCCCCAGGCTGCCAAGACCCAGCCTACCTTGGTGATTGAAGGATTTCCAAAAGATGGGAAAAGAGGCTGAGCTCCAGATTGTCTGCAGTATTCATCCAGAGCTGGAAGACAAAACAAAACACATGCTAAAATGAAGGTGTGGGAGAAGAATGATTTGCAGGAAGCATGAGAAGGTCAGTGCTGGACAGGTGATCCTCTGACGTGGAATCATCAACATGATGTACCAGCTCTGGAATCAGATCAGCTGTCCTGACACTCCAAGCAGAGAGGTGCCTCCCCTGTAGGAAGGCCTTCTCTCGCCATCTCTGCTGCTACTTGGCACTTCATTGTGGGCCTGGTTCCAACCAAGGACGCCTGCACTAACCATCTCCCCCATCTGCTCAGCCTTGGGCCCACAGCCCAAGTGTCCATATTGCAAACTCATCTCAACCTCCCTGGATCCTGCAAGACAAATGATGATGTTCCCACTTTACAGATGAGAAAATAGAGGCTGAGACAGACCAGCTGAGTGACAGTCTCCACTCACCACCAGCAAGTGGCAGGACAGGAAATAGAAGCCAGGTACAGATTTTCAGGTTTTACACTGTACTGACTACATACCCAATTTGCGCAGGCAACACATTCTTCAGCCCAAACCACAGTGTCATCTCATGCATGACAAAATTGTAAGTGAAACAAAGATATGAAATTCACTGAGATTCTGAAAGTGAAGTTGATCACTCAGGTTGTTTTCATTCATAGTAAACAAATGTAGCTGCTAGTGATCCTTCTGGGGCAGAATTGATGGATGCCATCATGTCTTATTTCTACTTCCCTTTAGAGAACTCTAATATTTTTCTTCTCTAAATACTGACAGTTCCTAAGGCCCAGACTATACAAGGTTCAGGTGTGGGATTATAAGCGTGCACTCATATAGCAGCAAAAAGAGCTTGCACTTAATAACTGATACATTTCCTGGTGGCAAGAGGTGCCATAAAAAGACCCAAAATATTATTATCCGCATTTATGTATTTATTTTCTTATTTTTGAGAGACCCAAGCTGGAGCGCAGTGGCCCAAATATGACTCACTGCAGCCTTGACTTCCTGGGCTCAAGCAATTCTCCCACCACAGCTTTGCAAGTAGTTAGAACTACAGGTTTGCACCACCATGCCTAGCTAATTGTTAAAATTTTTTTGTAGAGTGGGGTATTGTTTTACTGCCCAGGCTAGTCTCTAATTCTTGGGCTCAAGTGTTCCTCCTGCCTCCACCTCCAAAATTGCTAGGATTACAGGTGTGAGCCACCGTACCCGGCCTATTATCTGCATCTAGTAGCTAGAAAGAATGGGACTCAGGGAGACTAAGTAACTTTTCTGGCACCAGACTTTTTTTTTAATTGGCAGAGACTGTTTTCAAAGTCAATCCACCTGACTACGAAGCCCATTCCCTTGCCCCACACTGGGTACCCATGGGTATCACCTACAGATAGTGACCCATAGGGTCAATACTCAACCTTGCTTGAAGCTAAGCAGTTACCCATGACTTTGCTTACTCTTGCTGAAGAGGAAATGCAAAAGAACCCCAGTGAACACAAGTTTATCGGGAGGCCTGTGAAGGTAGAGACTGTCCCTCTTTAATCCCTGGAACCTAGCATCATACATGCCACTATCTTTCGTAAAGATGCATTACATTTTTTAAAAGAATGAGTGGATACAAAATAAAATAAAATGAGTGGATTGTTCTTCCGCCAGGAAAAGAGTGACAGATTTCCTGCTTTTTTAAGCACAGCCACTGCCCAAAGGCACACACAGAGGTGGGCCAGCTGCCATTTGGGACAGCTGGTATTGATGAAGGCAGCTCTAGTGAAAACATGGGTATCCAGCATGGCACCCCAACATACATGTCTGTAGGGCTCCAAGAGCCCTGCACACTTAGGATATTGATTCATGAAGGCAGTCATTCAACAAATGATATGCCAGGCCTGGGGCTAAGGGCTGAGAGAACTAAGAAAGTCAGATGTGAACCCACCAGTACAATAAGGTGCACCTTTTACACTTCCCACAAAAGTTCCAGCCTCTCACATTTCCTTTCCAGAACACAGCAACAATAATAAGTTGCCACACCCATTTGAGGCTGCCTAGCTCATCAGGAAATTACATAATGCCAAATGTCAGAATTTTGGGAAACATGAATAACTGAATCTTTTGATTGTTATTCTGTGTCACATAAGCCTGTACTAAGGACTATATTAAGATGTCTGGATTAGATTTGTTTGAGTATGGACTGTATAATGTGTCAGGTGTTGCTCTCTCCCCACCCCTGAGATGACTGTACTCTTAGAAATGAACTAGTCAGTTCCTTCTTTAAGAAACCAGAGGCTGGGTATGGTGGCTCATGCCTATAATCCCAGAACTTTGGGAGGCCGAGGTGGGTGGACCATCTGAGGTCAGGAGTTCAAGACCAGCCTGACCAATATGGTGAAATCCCTTCTCTACTAAATATAAAAAAATGAGCCTTATGTGGTGGCACGTGCCTGTAATCCCAGCTACTTGGGAGGCTGAGGCAGGAGAATTACTTGAACCTGGGAGTCAGAGGTTGCAGTGAGCTGAGATCGCACCACTGCCCTCCAGCCTGGGCAACAGAGTGAGACCTCATCTCAAAACAAAAAAAAAAAAAAAGAAAGAATGAAAGAAAGAAAGAAAGAAAGAAAGAAAGAAAGAAAGAAAGAAAGAAAGAAACCAAAACCTAAGACTTAGAAGCCCACAACTTCCTGTTCCTCCCTGATTCTCAACTTTCTGTCCAACCCTGCCTTACAACTTCCTATCCAACTCTGTCTTACAACTTCCTGTCCAACCTTGCCTCAACAGCTTCCTGTCCCTCCTTCCCTCACAACCTCCTGTCCCTCCTTCCCTCACAAATTTTTGTCCCTCCCTGCTTCAACAATCTCCTGTACCCACCCTCCCTCACAGCTTCCTGTCCATTCCCTTCTCAATGACTTCCTGTCTCTCCCTTCCTCACAACTTCCTCTTCCTGTCTGCTTCACACCAGTCATCACGGATCCCACCGTTTCTCCTGTGATCCACTCTCTTGTCTCCAAACCCTCTGAGGATGTGTCTCATTAGCAGTTTCTTCTCCCACTACTATTTTAACTGTCTGGTTTTTACTGCGTCTTCTCCTTCAACCTACAAACAGACTTAAGTCTCTTCCATCTTAAAACACGAAACCGGCTGGGCGCGGTGGCTCACGCTTGTAATCCCAGGGCTTTGGAAGGCCAAGGTGGGCGGATCATGAGATCAAGAGATCAAGACCATCCTGACCAACATGGTGAAACCCCGTCTCTACTACAAATACAAAAATTAGCTGGGCGTGGTGGCACATGCCTATAGTCCCAGCTACTCGAGAGGCTGAGGCAGGAGAATCACTTGAACCCATGAGACAGAGGTTGCTGTGAGCCGAGATTGTGCCACTGCACTCCGGTCTGGCAACAGAGTGAGACTCTGTCTCAAAAAAAAACAAAAAACAAAAACCCAAAACCAAAAGTTCTGAAACTTCCTCTCTGCTATTTTCCAAAGTCCACTGACTGCCTCCACTTTCAGTCTCCCCACACTTCCCCTTAATTCTTTGTTTGTTTGTTTGAGACGAAGTCTCGCTCTTGTCGCCCAGGCTGGAATGCAATGGCATGATCTCGGCTCACTGCAACCTCCCCCTTATGGGTTCAAGTGATTCTCCTGCCTCAGCCTCCCGACTAGCTGGGATTACAGGCGCCCGCAACTATGCCCACCTAATTTTTGTATTTTTAGTAGAGACAGGGTTTCACCATGTTGGCCAGGCTGGTACCGAACCCCTGACCTCACGATCCACCCGCCTCGGCCTCTTCGTGCTGGGATTACAGCCATGAGCCACCAAGCCCGGCCGTTTCTCCTTACTTCTGAGTGGCTTCTGACCCCACAACTTACTTGTCACTAAGTCTGTCAGTGACCTCCAATGGGCACGTACAGTGCACACATCCCTTACCTCACTTTACTTGGTGTAGGCAGAACATGACATTTGGGAAACATTTTTCCCTTTTTGAAATTCTCTCCCCTCAATCTTTTAAATTTTATTTTGTTTCATTTCATTTTGTTTCACTTTGCTTTGCTTTTTAGCATCTGGTTCTTATTGGTGGTTTATTTTCTTAAATCCAGCTTTAAAAGCACCAGATCTCCTGAAGAGGGTAGTTTTATTCAGGGTGGGGTGGGGTAGGGTGGTGTCCATGGCCATTCTAGTAGCAGGCAATGGAGCATGATGGGTTCCTGCATTAGTAATTCCTGGGCCATGCTGGTGGCCAGGACACCTTGGAGCCAGACTGGCTGAGCATGGCCACAGCACTTCAGAAGGGGCAGCAGCGGTTGCAGTCAAGACACATTATCTTATTTAGTGGGGTTTTATGGCCATTTATGTACATCTTCTTTCCCCTTGTGCACAGGGAGCCCATTCTCCAGGCCATGCTGGCTTCCTCCACAATCCTCTTTTCCAGCTTCAGATCCAGGACCAGGACATTCATCTTGGCCTGGTTCAACTGGCTAATCTCATATTTAGGGCTCTTATGCCTATATTTACAAATAAGATTAGCCTGTACTTTTTCATTTTCTGTTCTGTCCTTTTGTGTTCTGCCATCAAGATTAGCTCGTTAAAGAAGCTAGAAAGAACCTATTTCCTGACTGGTGGAATTTCCCTATGAGTGCCCAGCCTGGCGTTCCCTTCTGGTTGTTGTTTATGTCAACAGATTTTAAACCAGTGACTCACTTTACTTGATGATTCTAGGATCATTGGGGTTTTTTATTCATTTTAGAGTGCGCTCTGAAAACTTACATTTTCGATGAGATTGTTCAAATGAACTAAGTTTTCTAATTTACTGGCACAAAATTACTAATCCAATTGTCTCTTTCCTTTCTAATTGCTCATTCTTCTGTGGTATTCTCCCCTTTTCCTTCCTAATATTATTTATTTGTGGCTTCTGTCTTCTTTTCTTGGCCAATCTTAACAGACGTTTGTCTGTTTTAGGAGAAACAGTAATTGGCCTTGTTGATCCTCTGTATGTTTTTTTTTCCTATTTTATTAATTTATGTTCTCATTTATATGTTTCCTTCCTTCTTTCTCTGCGTTTTGATTTTGTTTGGTCATTCTAACTTCTTGATCTTAAGTTAGAAGTTAGACGTTGAACCGAATCTTGATCTATATTATACAAAGAGTATTCTCTTTTTATAATATACATATTGATGACTGTCAGTCTCCCTCTGGTCCTGCCTTCAGTAGCAGCCCTGTGGTGTTTTGATATGTAGTATTTCCCTTGTCATGTGTCTCTAAGTCACTTCTGGTTCAAGTTCGACTTTTTCACCTGCTGTCCTCATTATCCCACTACCCTTGCCTCAGTTTAGGTTTCAAAATCCTCTACCCAGATTTCTTCAATCATCTCATGACCCATCTCCCTGCTTCAGAGCTCTTGTCACCGAAGTCACATACCTAAAATAAAATTCTCACATATCATTCTACAGTTAACATCCCTAGATATCAAAAGTTTGGTAAAACTTATCAACAATCTAAAAATTGTTCATAATGCCTTTATTCTCATTATTAATTTTGATAATTTATTCTAAGAAAATGTTTTTAAAAGTGAGAGAAATATCAGCACAAAAGTCCCATCTATAACACAATTTATAACAAAATATAGAAAGAATCTAAAAATTTGGCAATAGAGAAATGATGAAGAAACCAGGAACTCTCAGCATAACAGAATATTATTCTGATCTCAAAACAGTGCTTGTGTTTGTAATGAAAATGTTTAAATGTTTTTGGTATGTGAGCAAAGACTAGACTCAAAATAACCTACAGTATAATCATGACTATGATTTTAAAAATGTATTATACATTGAAAATACTGTAAGAGAATGCATCCAGGTTTGACAAGAATTAACTAGGTCTTGGTAATAGGAGAGTTTCCCCCTCACATTTTTCTCTAATTAAAAAATATTCTATAATAAACATATATCAATTTCTTAATAAACAAAGAAAGAGCTTTGAAACTTCTCCTGAGGACCTCCACATGCCCAGGCTAAAGTGTAGTCTGGGCAGTCTAACCCCTTGGGCCTGCCTTCTCTCTCTCCTGCTCTTGCAACCAACACAAACCTGTAGGCCCCCAACAAGCCACTTGCTCTCAAGTCCCCATGGCTGCTCTCACTCTGATGTACAGTATTTGCAAATAGCATATACACTCCACCTGGAAGGTTATTTTCCCCCTGAATTCTGACTGCCTGCTCACTCCCACTCCCCAGATGCCCTGTGCCTGTCTCACTGAAGCACCTAGCATTTGCAGTGTTACATTGGCTATGTCCCAGTCCCATCTGGCTGTGGGGAAGGGCTGGGTTCTAGTTTTCACTGTGTCTCCAGGACATGGCCAGTACCTGACCCAGAGGGTGCTCAGTAAATGATGCTTCATGAATGGGTTGATCCACCCACAGCAGTTGTGTGCGATGCTCCTCAGCCTCAGGCGTGTCCTTCTGCATCCCTTAACTCACCCCTTTCAAGAATCATTTGGAAACAGCAAAGCACCACCCAAAGGAACTGAGATCATTTTTCTTTACCCTCATATGTATATGCCAATTTATAGTTTAAAAATCCTTTCCCAGATACTATCTGGCTTAACCCTCATGACAGCCTGCAAGGAGATGAAGGTCTCCACTTCACCCAAGAAAAAGAGTGGGGCTCAGAGAGGTCAAGAGATTTGTCCGAAGCCACTCAGTCCATAGGTGGCACATGTCATTACAAACCAGGGCCTCTGGGCAGGCTCGTTTGGTTTTCCCTCTCCCTACCATCATGACTATGAGGGAAGCTGACATGCTAGGTTTAGGGGAAAGCCCAGACTTAGCATATTTACCATCACACACACTCCTGAAGGACTAAGGGCCAATCTCTGATTTACCTCGAAATTGCAGAGGATGTGCTGGAAGACACCAGTGTTGGTGATAGCAGATGACCTGAAGCCCAGCTCCACAGTGCCAGCCACTGAGAGGATCAGCTGAAAAATTCGATGGTTCAGGAGAGAGGCCTTCTTCCTCAGGAGAAACGCCATTATCTGAAAAGGTTAACACAAAGCAGTTTCCTCATGAATGCATCATTAGAGATTTCCCCTTCACCCACTTGTCCCAGTCCAGTCTGCAAACCTTCTGCTCTCTGCTGCTACCATCCTTCATTCCATGTTCTCAGAAGAAAAATACACATCAACTTCTGTGGCCACTTTTCTGTGCTATGACCTGACTTCTCACTGGGACTCTTACTTTTCCCTGCATCTTTTCCATGTTTCCAGAATGCCACTCTCTCCTGGTTTCCTCCCACACTCCTCAAGCCTCATTCTCATTTTCTGTTACTGGGTCCTTTACATGCGTAACCATCCCATAAATGCTGCATTTATGGGAAGCTACCACCTGCCCATGAGCCTGGCTGCACCCAGCCAGATGTGCCTGTCAGTTGCACCAGCCCCTGGGAAGCCAGCAACATGAAGCATCCATCCCAGCATGGAGGCACTTGGGTCCCAGCATACATTTGGTGACCCAGCTTGTCTCAGACTAAGAAGATGGGTCCCACCAAGCCTCACATCTCTGTTGACTGCAGCCCCACACGAGTCAGTCTGCCCAGCCATCCATTGGCATATGAGCCTTGAGCGACCTAATCTGGAGTCTCAGCTCCTTCCATCCATGGCTCCATTCCCCATCAATGGCTCCAACACAGCCCGCCC
This sequence comes from Homo sapiens, assembly GCF_000001405.40. NCBI lineage: Eukaryota > Metazoa > Chordata > Mammalia > Primates > Hominidae > Homo > Homo sapiens. The sequence goes on along the minus strand of NC_000010.11, from coordinate 48,795,637 downwards.
TTTCTCCCTGTCCTCCCAGACATGTTCTTGCAACGTGCCCTTCGGAAGCCTTGTTTGTGATCAGAAAAGACTCAATATCTTTCCAGACTATTCATGTGTGTGTATATATATATGTATATATATATATATATATATATATATATATACAGACACACACATATATGAAATCCCACAGCAAGACAAAATTAGGATGGCTAAAAGTTGCATGTGAAAACATTCAGGCTGACTGGCTTCACTTTACATCAAACAGTGTCAAATGTCAAACTGACACTCAGTCAGTTCTGGCAATCCAACTCTGTCCTTCTAATAAGCTATATTTTCTTATCCTAAAGATCATGGTTTCATTGCTTCTCCTCTCTCCTCTAACCTCTCTTCCTCTCCCCCACCTGACCTCATATTTTGCTGAAAAGATAGAACCCATCAGATATGAATATTCTTTTTTCCCACCACCAAATTAACAAACGTGTTGCATTCCTTCCTGTCACAAGCAGAGTCTCCGATCTACCTGGTCTCTGGATCCTACTGGTCACCATCTCAAGGACACTGCTCTTTGAGATAACTGTTCTCTCCAAGCTTCCACTGCCCCAACCCTGGATCTCTTCCTCCTATGTACAAATATATTCTAGTATTTCTCATTGTAAAAATAACCCTCCCTCCATCCCTAATCCCTGTAGCTTTATGCAGCTCCTCCTGCTCATAGGCAAACTTCTAGAAAGCATTATCAACACACCCTGGCTCCATGTCCTTACCTGACATTCTCTTTTCAACCTGCATCAGCCAGCCACTGCCTCCACCTGGCTACCTCCCTCAGAAAGGCCACCAGGGACTTCCAGGTGGCCAAATCCAAAGAGGACGCCTCCATCCTTTGTTTGTGCTATTCTTTATCAGCATTTAACATGGTTTGACCATACCCGCCTTCTCAAAACACGTTCTTTTTTCAGATTCCTTGACATAACTGTCTTTGATTTTTCTTCCCTCTTGCTTCTCAATCTCCTTTACTGGGTTTTAATTATATTCCCAGCTCCATGTGGTTAGCTCCTCTTTGTTTCCCCCTCAACCTTCTTCTCTCTGTACAGCTTCTTTTTGGTGATTTCATCAATTTCCTTAGATTAAATATCATCATGGTGGCGATGACCCTCATATTTACACCTCCAGCACAGCCTGTCCCTGAGCTCCAGAGCCTTCTCTCCCACATGATACTTCACCTTCAATGTCTCACAAACATTTCCCACTGAGCATGTCCCAGCATCTCCCTTCCTTCCTGTCGGCGGCCTGCTGGACCGCCCTGGCTCCTTTCCAGCGCCACCTGCCCAGGCTGCTCACAGATCCTGAGACTCCCCAGGTCAGGAACACAGGCTCCTATTAGGTCAGATTCTATCTCAGCCCCTGCTTGAACCTCATCCCCATGCCTCATCTTCTCCACTGACGTCAAGGGGTGTTCTAACACCTCTGTCAGTCCGTTTCCCTGTCCCGGCCTTCCTGCAATTGCCCATCACCTGTGAGGCAGAACCTACGTTCCCCACAGTGGTAAGGCTATGGCTCCCTACCCTCCATTCGGTATGCCATGCACAGCTCCACAACCATCCTCTCCTCCTAGCCGTGTGGAGGAACCCAGACCAGCTCCTGGAAGTGTTTTAATGTTAGTCTGGAACAGTATCCTCCTCTTTCCCCATATTAAGAACACCCATCCTATAAAACTCAGCTGGCTATTGCTTAGTCTGAGAAGAGGCTGATAAATCAGCTAGACAGAAATAACAGATAGGAAGGTTTATGCTCTCCCACCCAACCAGTAAACCAGCAGATGAGCCTAGAGTAAAACCTAAAAACTGATGAAATCCACTCCTGAGCAAGCCACTTAATTGAAGACCCCTGTTTTCATTCACGGATTCATTCCTCAATCCTAACTGAGCACCTACTATCTATGGCATGTTCTTAGGGTACAGCAATAAACAAGCCGGACACACGCTCTTATGAAGCATGTGCCTGGGGGTGAAACAGACACAAACGTGGCAATACGGAAGCAGACATCACGCAAATGCACATGCAGGTTACAAAGAAACACAAAGCGAGAAAACGTGCCTAGAAAAGGATGAGGGAGGATGGAGGTTGCATTTTATAAAGAGTGGACAAGAAAGTTTAAAAAAACAAAAGCAAAAACAAAATAATACTATTTCTTCACTCAAACCTGCCATTTACCACCTCTCTTGCCACGCAGCTTCTCCTTCTGATTTTCCCCAAAGACATAAATATTTGAAATGTTTCCTTTTTAAAGACAGAATAACAGTTTTAAATTTTCCTTATTCTGCCTTCATGTGTAAGTGTACAATAAACCTCTGAATCTGATGAGTTCTTTACTCAAAGGAGGTATCTGAGAGACTCTCCCTCATGCTAACAGTATTTTTCTGTCCACCTTCTTGGATGGTAAGTCCCATGAAAACAGGGACTAAACCCACCTTGTTCACCTCACATCCCTAGTGCCTAGCACAGTGCCTGGTCTTAGGAAGCATTTGATCAATTAAGTTGAGTAAAGAGATTACATCCTTGGGCCACTCCTTGTCTCTACCATCTCTTCCTGGAAAGCTCAGTCAGCTCAGTCTCCAGGAAACCTCTTGATGAGCTTCCTTTTTTAACAAAACCCTTTTTGACCCCTCTACCTACATGTGACAGCAGGCGCTATGTACCTCTGTGGTAGATAGTTCCTCCTCTCAAGGCAATGTTCTCATTTCTGAACCCTCACTGAGAGCTCACCGCGCCCACCCACCATCCCCAGGACTAGGCAATGAGACCACAGTGAGCCTGAGGTAGTCTGAGCTTTCTGAGAAGCTCAGAGTTTCTGGGAAGATAGCCAGGTAGCCAGTGAGTCACAAAGCATGTAGTAGTTCTTGATGTGAATCTTGGACACCGATTGCATTTTTATTTATATTAAAATTATTTTGGTTCTTATTTTATTTTCTCCTTCTAGATACACTCATGAGGGCAGGAAATGATTTGTGCCTTTTTAGAAATTGTCACAATAATTATTAAAATCCCTAACCACAGCAGATATCCTTGTGCTGTATTAGAATAGATCCTACTACTATTATCTTTAACAGCATATTCAGAGAAAACCTTTGTGTACCAATATCCCCAATTCTTGAGTTTTAGCATAAACTCAGACATACCCATTTACTCATTCCCAAAACATGTACTGAGTGTCTTCATGGTGTCAGTAATACACCAGCAAAGAGTAAAAAACCTTAGGATCTTTAGAAGATTCCAGTAGAGATGTGTAGACTGAGCATTCCAGTGTGGGTGCGAGAGCAATTAAAACGGGATGTGCCCACAGTGCCAAGAGGACCAGGAAACAGCCACATGCTCAGCTGGGGGAAGAGAATGCTGCCTTTGCTATTTGAGCTTGATCTTGGAAAACAGAAGGAGGGTGCTTGAGGGAGAAAAAAAGAGGTGCTCTGAGCGGAGGCCACAGGCACACAAAGTCATACACTGTTTAATGATTGGAGAAGGTGCAGGATTTGGGGAGGTGGGAACATAGGCTGAAATGTTGGCTGGGTTGGAGATGGGGCTGGAAGGAAAGGTCTGTGGCCAGTTTTGAATGGCTTTGAAAACCTGTCTAGGGAGTTTGGGATATGGTATCGGTAATCAGATGCCTTTGAAGGTTTTACACACAGGAGGGACACCACCAGATATGTGATGTGGGCTACAGCTGGCATCAGTGGGCTACGAGGGACAGGCTGGGGGAAGGGGTTACTGTCCAGCTGTGGCAGTAGTCCAGACAGACAGGGGGAGTGCCCAGAAGGCCATCACACAGCTCTCTTCTGCTCTAACCCTGACCCAGTAGCGAGAGACACAGGAGGCTTTGCCCCAATCACCCAGCAGCCCCCACACCAGAGGAAGCCTCCACTGCCTGAGACCTGTGACATGGCCCAGACTCCGACCCTGGCCCTGCCCTCCTAATTCCTCACCTGGCTGCCTCCCAGACATGTGAGAAGTTACTCAAGGGCAGTGGCCATGTCTCATCTGACTTTACCAATTCTAAATAGCAATGACAATCACAGTAAACACATGCGAAGCAGGTCCCGTGTGCAGGTGCTCCTCTAAGCTCTCAACACATATAAACACAGTCATCACAACCCTGCAAAACAGGTGCTCTCATAATCCCATTTTACACATGAGGGAACTGACGCACAAAGAGATTAAGAAGTAGAAATGACTAACATTTACTTAGCACTCATTCTGGGCCTGACATAATTCTAACCTCTTCACTTGTGTGAAATCATCTAATCCTCACTGCAACCCTATTACAGTCCATATCTTACAGGTGGGGAAACAGGCAGAGGATAAGTAACTCATCTAAGGTTAAATAGCAAATTAGAAGAGATAGGATTTAAACTCTGGCAGTCTGCTCTGCAGCCTGGGCTCTCAGCCACCATGCTAGAGACAAGGTGGGGAGACAACCACAAATGACATTAGAATTTGTCAGTGAAAAGGGCCAGAAGCCACAATCAGGTGAGCATCCTCATCCTGAGCAGAGCTCTTGGGCTGGCTGTCGCCTGCCCCTCCTCTGCTGCGAAGTTGCTGGTCTCAGAACCCAAGGGCTTTCGGCTGCCCTTCTCTAGAAGTCACCCTGGAGGGAATGCAACTGAGGCAAGCAACGCTTGTCCCTGTTTCCCAGGGATGACAGCCCTTTCAGGAGTCTCAGTTCCAGGTGGGAGGATGGGATTACCTGGTACCCACAGATGTGTTGCATCAGGAAGTCACACATGGCATTACTGGTCAGGACCGAGTGCAGAACTTTCACAGCCGCATACATGGTATGGTCATCTGTCGCTAAGGAGATGAGGCCCAGGAGGATGGCAGGCCCGCCAATGAAGTCCAGGCTGCTGGCAGCAGGGCTGGAGTGGAATACCCTCACCCCTGTGTGGCATAAAGTGGGCATTTCATCAACATGTCACAGCTTCATTGCAATGGGAAATTCCCCGACAGCACAGGAGGACCAATGAGCTACCAGTGCCACCATCCATCCACAGCCAGAGGGACCTGTGCACCTGGGACAGGCTGGGGGGAAGAGCAGGAGGTTCTGAAAGTCTTAGATGGCTGGGAGATACTGTGCTAAGTCATTTCTTTGCCATCAGAAGGCTGAACAGCCCAGAGTATTTCAGATTGCCGCCCTCTGCCTTCACTCCAGAGTGTTGGATGAGCCAGACCCCTGAGCCTCAGTATCCCTATTGCTCTAACAACCCATTGCTCTTGCCTGTCCTCTAGATCCTGCTGGGCAGGGCACTTGCACCAATTTGTTGCCTTGCTATTGCTCAATTGAATGGTGACCAGCAGTTTTCACTCAAACAACTACAACCAGTGCTTCTGCTTAAAAGCCCCACTGTACTCACTAGATAGACAGCTTCCTGTCGTCACAGACAGCAGCCTGGTTAGTAGCTGAGCTCACCACTGATTGCCACATGTGGCCAGGTGAACAGATCCTCATGCTTTCTGGGAGACTAACTCTCTGGCTGGATTCACTCCCAACTCTGGTCCTCCCGACCCTGGTTCCCTGGCACACTCCATCCTGTCCACCACTCCAGAACTCCAGGGTGCACAAGCCATGACAGCACAAACCCTGCTTCCCAAATAGCGGCAAAGCTTCCCAGTTGAACATACCTAATTGACCCACAGCAACAGCTCCAATGGTCCGCAGAGACCCTGACAGGTGGCCAGCACAATTCCTCAGCAAGAACACGGGCATGGCATTGTCACGGGATGAAATGTTCATCTAGAGAAATGAGCAGCAATTAGTCCTAAGAAAGTCCTGCAAAAGAAGAAGCATTGTCCACGAGCTCCTGGAGGGCAGGCCCTCTGGGGCCTGGCCCAGTGCTGACACTCCATCAGCAATGATCATGGAATGAATAGCAATTGAACCAATGTCAGGGGATTGAAGCCAAATTCAGGCTCATGCATTCTGTCTCCCAAGCTGTGGCTGAATTGTAAGTGAGCAGCTTCAGTTACGCAGTCTGAGCCACCAGTGTCCCACGTGCTCACAGTGAGGTGCTAAGAAGAGCAAGAGGGACCCAAGGACACTTTCAGGTGGAACAGCGCTACCAAGGTGAGGGCTGCCACCTTCTCAGACTAGGGTTGTTCAGGCTCTGGGAGCCCAATCTCTACAGATGTCAAAGGGGCAAGAAGATAGGAATCCTGGACTCCTACATCAGAAAGCGGTGTGTTGCTGCTAAGCCACAACTTTCATGATCAACAGGACCTAGTTCCTGACTCCCCATCCTCTGGGGGTACCCTCTGTCCATTAGGGTGAAGGAATATAAACGAATTGCAAATTTTCATCAGTGCTAAGCAAAAGAGCTCTTTATGCAAAAATTGGAAGTAAATTTAATGGCATCCCCATCTACAAACATATCTCCTTGTTGTTTTGAAAATTTACTGTTTTTATTTGTTTGTTTGTTGTTTTAATCACAGCAATATTGGGTGCTGCTGTGAATCACACCTGTAATCCCAACTACTCAGGAGGCTGAAGCAGGAGGATCACTTGAGCCCAGGAGTTCAAGACCAGCCTGGGCAACATAGAGAGATCCCATCTGTAAAAAAATAAAAAATTAAAATTAAAAAAATCACAACAACTCAAAGAATATCTCAGTGTTAGTGGGTCATTAATACCCAGGACTAGGGAAGCTCAATAGTGTTTTCAATGTTGCAAAGGTATTTAAAATATGTCATTTGTTCTTGTTCTTTTATTTATGATTTTTCTTCTCTGAATAATTATAAATGAAAGGCTTAGTCTGGGAGGACACCAGTGGGTGGGGAGGCATAGGATATTTTAACAAATGAAGTGGGAAACATGTATTTGTGTATCCATCTACACAAGTGCAAACATGAAATAGTGTTTACTTAAGCACTGAAAGCTAATGCAAACCATGAAACCAGATTCCAACAGAGATTAGCAGCGAAGTTAGAAGATGTACCTCTTTGGCGATCAGGCGGCTGTCCACCTCATTGTAAGCATTTCTGATGTCCGCTACACTGGTGATAGAGGAGCTGGCTATGTGAAGTCCAAAAGAAACTCTTTCTTCTGCAACAAAGGGCGTGGCTTCACTGTCCAGGTCCTCCCCTGTAACAACACATCTTTAAACATTTCTAGTCTAACTTTACAGAGCAGGAAATTAATCCTCATACAATTTAATATCTCTGTCACACAGCAAAGTAATCATTGAGAGGATGTTTGTATGTTGTCACATTGCATGTTTTTGCACATTGTATGTTTGCATGTCATTTGTTTTCCCCTCTTCTCTGATAGTTATAGAAAACCGTGGGCTGGGCATGGTGGCTCATGCCTGTAATCCCAGCACTTTGGGAGGCCAAGACAGGCAGATCACTTGAGGTCAGGATTTCGAGACCAGTCTAGCCAACATGGTGAAATCTCGTCTCTACTAAAAGTACAAAAAATCAGCTGGGCATGGTGGCGCATGCCTGTAGTCCCAGCTACTTGGCAGGCTGAGGCAGGAGAATGGCTTGAACCGGGGAGGCAGAGGTTGCAGTGGGCCCAGATCATGACATTGCACTCCAGTCTGGGTGACAGAGTGAGACTCTGTCGAAGAAGAAGAAGGAAAAGGAGAAGGAGAAGGAGAAGGAGAAGGAGAAGGAGAAGGAGAAGGAGAAGAAGAAGAAGAAGAAGAAGAAGAAGAAGAAGAAGAAGAAGAAGAAGAAGAAGAAGAAGAAGAAGAAGAAGAAGAAGAAGAAGAAGAAGGAGAAGAAGAAGAAAGAAAGAAGAAAGAAGAAGAAAGAAGAAGAAGAAGAAGAAGAAGAAGAAGAAGAAGAAGAAGAAGAAGAAGAGGAGGAGGAGGAGGAGGAGGAAGAGGAAGAAAAAAAGAAAACTGTGGCGAACTCTCCCAAGATTTGTCTTACCATGAAATAGATGCACTCCAGGTGCGAAACTACCAGAGCTTAAAACATCTGTAAAGTATATAACCTCATTCCCTAAAACCAAACTCTTAAGTGACAAGAAACCTGACTTGAAATAGGCTGATCTGAAATGTCTAATTTTCAATGAGCTGCACAGCCACGGCAAACACCCCAGTTTGAATTAACATACTGGTCTCTAAGTCAATGATACCCAATGTGCTAGTAGAGAAAGGTGCCATGAATATAGAATTGGTAAGACTTTGGCTCTAGACCTGACCTCGTCCCATTGCTCTGGCCAGTGCCATTTGCCACAGGAAATGAAATTCAAAGACATCATGGGCCTGGAGACAGAAATGCTCAAGAGCACTCAATCGCCCTTCAGCACATACAGGCTGCTGACATAGATTCATTTATCATTCTTTCCAGATGGGAGCTGACCCCTTTGACTTGACAGAGCACAGAGAACAATGCTCCCTGCTTGAATAACAACAATCAATAATGAAAATGTGGATGTTTTGTCTGCCTGTTTAATAATTGAAGTCAACAGTATACTTTAGTTAAAAAGCTTCTTCATTAAAAGCAATGTAACTTATTTATCTCATTCTCTTCTCTCTTTCTTTGCTGATGGTATTGCCCAACCCACCTCTTCCCCATTAGGGCTTTGGAGTTGAAATCTAAAGATATTGTCATTTCCTTTTCTGTGACATTTTCTCTTGGGTTGTAAATATATAATGATACAATTACAGAGGTCTTCCCTAATGACTGACTTTAACGCTGAGCTTATTCTCTGCAAATCTGCTACAAATAACTGGATGTCCATTTAAAAACTAATATCAGCAAGAACATTGTAAATCAAAACACTCCATACCTTGGACATGCACAGCTTGGAAGTTACCACAATATCTTGGGCCAAGTTTGTTAATAACTTCCAGAGTTTCCATTGAAATGGCTTCTTCAAAGAGGTATGTGGGGCCAAGACGCCAGATTAATGAAGACTTTTGTTTCCAGACTCGAGGAGTAGCAATATATCCATAAACATCCACAAATGCGGATGGATCCATAGAAAGGAAAGGCCCTGGTAGAGCCTGGATGTATAACATCTGTTAAAATAAAAAGGACAAGAGTGAGTAGTGTTTGATCTCAGAGTTAATCAAGTAAATACAAAGTGATATAACATGATGCATCTTATTCTCATCTCATAGTAAAAATGTATTTTATCTAAAAAACTAAAATATAATTCTCAAATCTCAGAAGTATGCGCAAAACAAGTTATTAAATGTGGAGTAAAAAACTGATACTGTCCTTTTGAAAATAAATTTGATAAAAAATATTAAGAAACAAAAAAGTGTACACCTTTCTTATCTCAGTCATTCTACTAAGAACCTGAATGTCTAGTATTGGCAAATTAATAGTTTTATGTATGAACAATAATTACATACATACAGAGTGGAAAGGAAGAAATAAAACTGTTTCTATCATGTCCATGTAGAAAGTTCCAAGGAATTTTTTTTAATATCCTAGAATAAGTGAATTCAGCAAGGTCACAGGATACATGATCAATACACAAAAATCAATTTTATTTGTGTAGGCTAACAATAAACAAACAGAAACTAAAATTAAACACAATACCACTTACAATTATGCACAAGAAAATGAAATACTTAGTAAGACAAGTAGAGGATCTGTATACTGAAAATTCCTAAGTGATGATGGAAAAAGTCCAAGACGACCTATATAAATGGAGAGACATACCAGGTTCATGGATAGAAAGGTTCACTATAGTAAAGATATTATTTCCCCTCGAGTTGATCAGTAAGTATAATGCAATTCCAGAAAGGTTTTTTGTAGACTATCAGAATTCCAGCAAGGTCTTTTGTAGACACAAACAAGCTAATTCTAAAATGTATATGGGAAGGCACAGGTCCTAGAATAGTTTAAACAACTCTGAAAAAGAAGAATTAATTTGGGGGAGGAACTACTCTAATAATGACTTATTATATAGCTATAAAATCAATATAGTGTGACATTGGTATAAAGATAACCACATAGATCGATGGAACAGAATAGAGAACCCAGAAATAAGCTTATATAAGAATGCTCACCTGATTTTTGACAAAGATGCAAAAGCAATTCAATTGAGAAATGATAGACTCTTCAACAAATGGTGCTGGAGCAATTGAACATCCACAGGCAAAGAAATGAACTTAAACCTTACACCTTATACAAAAATTAATTCATAATTGATTGCAAACTCTAGTGTAAAACGTAAAACTAGAAAATTTTTAGGGAAAAAAATAGGAGAATATCTTCAGGATCTAGGACTAGGCAAAATATTCTCAAACGACACCAAAAGCATGAGTCATATAAGGAAAAACTAATGAATTATATTTCAGCAAAACCAGAAATTTTACCCATGTGAAAGAGGATTAAAAGACATGCTACAGACTAGGAGGAATTATCGCAAATCACATATCTAACAAAGGACTAGTGTCTAGAATATATATGTATATATATAGACACACATACACATATATGTATACATTTTAAAACCCTAAAACCCTTAAAACTCAACAGTTTAAGGCCAGGCGCAATGGCTCACGTCTGTAATCCCAGCACTTTGGGAGGCCGAGGCAGGCGGATCACGAGGTCAGGAGATCGAGACCATCCTGGCTAACATGGTGAAACCCTGTCTCTACTAAAAAACACAACAAACATTAGCCAGGCATGGTGGTGGGTGCCTGTAGTCCCAGCTACTGGGGAGGCTGAGGCAGGAGAATGGCGCGAACCCAGGAGGCGGAGCTTATAGTGAGCCGAGATCGCACCACTGCACTCCAGCCTGGGGTGACAGAGCGAGACTACTCCGTCTCAAAAAAAAAAAAAAAAAAAAAGTAAACGATGCAACTGGGTGTGGTGGCTCATGCCTGTAATCCCAGCACTTTGGGAGGCTGAGGTGGGCAGATCACGAGGTCAGGAGATTGAGACCATCCTGGCCAACATAGTGAAAACCCATCTCTACTAAAAATACAAAAATTAGCTAGGCATGGTGGTGGGCACCTGTAGTCCCAGCAACTCTGGATTCTGAAGCAGAAGAATCACTTGAACCCAGGAGGCAGAGGTTTCAGTGAGCCGAGATTGCACCACTTCACTCCAGCCTGCCAACAGAGTGAGACTCCATCTCAAAAAAAAAAAAAAAAAAAAAAAAAAAAAAGCAAACAATGCAATTAGAAAATGGGCAAAAAATATGGATGGACATCACTGAGGAGAATATACAGATGGCAAATAAGCACATGAAAAGGTGATGTTCAACCTCATTAGCCACTAAGGAAATACAAATTAAAAACACAGTGAGATATTACTACACAACTATCAAAATGGCTAATATAAAAATAGTGACAATGCTAAGTGCAGAAAAACTGCCTCACTCATCCATTGTTAGCGGAAATGTCAAATGATACAATCATTTTCGAAATAGTTTGGCAGTTTCTTATAAAACTAAACATTCAATTACCATAGAAACCAGCAATTGAACTCTTGGAATTCATCCCAGATAGATGAAGACTTAAATTCACACAAAAACCTGTACACAAATGCTCACAAAGCTTTATTTGTAATAGCCAAAACCTGAAACATCCCAGATGTCTTTCAATGGATAAATGACTAAACAAACTATGGCACATCCATACCTTGAAATACTACTCAGAAATAAAAAAGAATGAACTGTGGCTACAGGCAAAAGTTTGGATGAATTTCCAAGTATACTTCCATATATTGCTGTGTGCCACATTACAATGTTCCAAGTCAGTGTCAGAGCACATATGCAATGGTGGTCCATCAGATAATAATATCATATTTTTACTGTACTTTTTCCATGTTTAGAGTGTTTAGATACACAAATATTCACCACTGTGTTACAGTTGCCTACAGTATTCAGTATAGCAACATGCTGTCTAGGTTTATAGCCTAGGAGCAATAAGCTATACCATATAGCCTAAGTGTTAGGTTAAATGAGAGGTTAAATGAACTAAGCAGTATACAAGATTTTCTATACTTCGAGGCCACACTATTTTTTAAAGGGATAAAACTGAAATTACAAAATATGATAAAGTAGTAGGAGGGTAGCTAATCTTTTCTCTATTTTTGAGCTATTTCAAAATGCATTTATATTATTCTTATAATTACTATAAAATCACTATATATAAGATATATACATTTGATATATACATCTTTGATTTTATACATAAGATATATACATAAGATATATACAATTGTACATATATAAATATGTACAATTGGCCCTGCATATCTGGGGGTTCCATATCCTTGGATTCAATCAACTTTGGCTCAAAAATATTCAGGAAAAAGAACAATAAAAAATAGTGCTATAACAATAAAAAATACAAATAAAAAAATACAGTATGACAACTATTTATGTAGCATTCACATTGTATTAGGTATTATAAATCATCTAGAGCTTAGTTAAGCATGCAGGAGGGTATGCATCTATTATTTGCAAATACTACACCATTTTATTTAAGGGACTTGAGTATCCATGCAGTTTGGTATCCAGGAAGGGTCCTGGAGCCAATCCCCTGAGGAAACTGAGGGATGACTGTATTTTTCTAAATGAGAGTTTACAGAATTTCAGAAATATTCTTTTTCACTCTACCAATTAAGTGAGATTTTCAAATAAAAACAAACCAATTGTTCAGCCATCAAGGCTTGCCAGGAGTATGATTTTCTGTGCTCTCTTATCTCTCTGTTCTCGCAGGCACAGAGTCCTCCTCTCTCTCCCACACTGAAGCACCACTCACCCCTCCAACCCACCTTGCTCCTGTCTTCCAAATTCCCAGTGTATGCACACTGCCCCATTCAGGTTGCCTAATAAATGTCTAATGTCTCATATCGTTCCCAAATCATTTTGCCCAATTCAAACTATTAAAATGCTCCATATCTTTACAAATTTATGTAAGTTTCCTTTGGCAATAAAAACAAAGGCTCAGCATTTTGAGAAGGGCTGTTAAACTAGTCAAATTAAGCTGAAGTTCTCACATCTTACTCTTGTCCAACAGATGTTTGCATCAAAACACAGGCCTTTATGTTTATCTTGGTTGAGTTTCACTTGCTGGTCCTGACCCAACTTGTTGAGATTATTTTGGAAAGCGCACTCTGTCAGTCTTGGCTTTGGCCACTCCATATAGCAACACACCACTCCTGACCTCCCTGTTGATGGCCCTAGGCTTAGCAGGTCCCGCAGGGAGGATGTTAATGCCTGTACCACTTCACCCAACCACACTAGCAGCCAGTCATGTTCCTCCTGTGGCTGCACATTCAATTCAGTTCATCAAGTGTTTATTCCATGCTTACTGTGTGTCAGCCCCTGCGCCAAGTTCAAGGAAGGTACAAACATCAATAAGACATGCCTCAAGGTATTTGAAGTATTTCACAAAATATCAACATATTCTGTGAAAGAAGACAAGAACAAGTGAACTCAGTAATTGAGCCTAAACAGATAAAAACAAAGATATTGCAACCACAAAAGACACCACACATCCCATCCCAACTAATGTGAGGGACTTCTGCTTCCTCTCTAATGATAAGTCCAGCCCTGTTCCGTGTCTCTACCTTCTGGATAAAAGTTATTAACATTCACAGTCACCAAATTGCACCTCTTTCCAGCAGCACCCAATTCAGAACAGACAGACCTCCACTTCTTTAAACCCTTTTAAAAATCACCTAAAATGAATCTAGTTTCTGTAACAAGCCACTCCTAACTCCTTACTACCCCATGGGATAGGAAATCTCTTGCTATAGTCAGTTTAAATCTAATTTTTATTTTATACTATATGTATGTTCCTGGAGGTCTTTGGCTTATAAGCATAAATAATTCTTAGAACCTAAAACAATTCTTAGCACCTTATACTATATGTATGTTCCTGGAGGTCTTTAGCTTATAGGCATAAACAATTCTTAGCACCTAAAATATTAGCTAACACATAACAGGTGCTCAATAAATATTTAATGAGGAAAAGAAGAAAGAGAGAAAGGGAAGGAGGGAGGACTGATATTGTTAATAATTGCAGAAAAGGTTAACTATGTTTTGAAGGACCTGTTCTTTCAATGCCCCTGTCAAAATCTTTCTGGTCAGCCAGGCGCAGTGGCTCACACCTGTTATCCCAGCACTTTGGGAGGGCAAGGCAGGTGGATCGCCTGAGGTCAGGAGTTTCAGACCAGCCTGGCCAGCCTGGTGAAACCCCGTCTCTACTAAAAATACAAAAATTAGTGGGCATGGTGGTGGGCGCTTGTAATCCCACCTAGTCAGGAGGTTGAGAAAGGAGAATCGCTTGAATCCTGGAGGCAGTGGTTGCGGAGAGCTGAGATCGCACCATTGCACTCCAGCCTGGGCGACAAGAGCGAAATCCTATCTCAAAAAAACATATATATATATACACACACACACACATATATATATATACACACACACACATATATATATACACACACACACACACATATATATATATTTGGTCATCACTGCCTTTTTTTGATAACAGAACTTTACCAGCAGATGGTATCAAATTCACCTATATGTGTCCCACAGAATTTGGGACTAAGAATTTGTTCTCATCTGATGACTCTTAACCTGGAACAACTTTGACCCCCAGGGTATATTTGGAAATGTCTGGAGATGTTACTGGTGGTCACAACTGGGCAAGGTCAGGGGAGGAACACTATGGCATTTAGGGGGAATCCAGAAACCCTGTGTATGTAAGGTTCTCCATTCTGGCTGCATATTAGAATCACCTAGAAAATTTTACAAACATTAGTAAGTTGTCAAATTACCTGACCCAGAGAGATTCTGATGTAATTATTCTGGGTGCAGCCTGTGCAAGAGAACTTTAAAAAGCCTTTGCAGGTGATTTTAAAATGCAGCCAGCTTGGGATGCTCTCCCTGGAACTTGTGTGAAAATCCAGCCCTACCTGCCTTCTATGGTCCTCCGGGCCCTCTCTTCTCTGACAATGGCTGCTGGCGCCTGCCAGCTCCACCTTTTCCCAGCTTTCTCTTATACCTGGGGTGTCTCTAAATGACAGCCATGAGATGCTTCCTCCAGCTATACATTTGCATTCTATTACCTTCCTCATGGTTCTTGCTCTAAATCTGACGACACGTGTTGGTGTCTGCCCACTCTAGTGTCCTGCTCCTCCGTGTGGTGCAAAGATGAGCTGCGTTGGCCTCACCTGGGAGCTTCTTGGAAAAGTCATACCTTAGGCCCTGCCCAGACCTCCCTGAGGAGTTTGCCCCTCAAAATGAGAAGCTTTGCTTTGTTCATTCTGGAGTTTTCTATTTTCATGAACATGACTATTCTTAGAGACCTGGATGCATGTCTTGCCTTCTGCCCTGGTAGCGTGACCTTCAATGCATTTTCTAAAGATGTCCTTTTCATGTCTGAACTCAGCCAAGTTTCCTGAACAGTAAGGCAGATTTCATTAGATGCCAACCCTACCAGTAATAAACAAACAAACAAACAACAACAAAAACATAGAATGAAACCGAGGCCACTTCAGGGTAGTAGCAGGAGGTATGGTTGTGGGGCAAGTGCAGCTTGGAGGAGCCATCTCACCTTGGCAGAGCCAATGACCTGTCCATCCAGACAGGTGGAAACTGTACAATGCCTTTTCATTTCCTTAGTGACAACCACAGCCAAGTGATGCCACTGACCACAAGCCAGGAGCTGGCCACACCTGACCTGAAGCTGGCATCCTGCAGAAGGCTCGGAGTCATCCTCAGGTTCCATGACATCTGGAAGACAGCATGAACACTGAGTCTCACGTGTGGTGCTACACTGCAGGAACCCAGGAGAATGGGGAGGGCATAGGCGGACGTCAACCACTGGGCCTTGTACCATGGAGCCCTAGATCCTCCTCTCATGAAAAATGACAACAGCAGCAGCAATAGCAGCAGTCATTCTTTGAGCTCTTCCTTTGTGCCAGTTTTAAGCATGTTACAAATATCAACTCATGTCATGTTCACAGCCCTGTGAGGTAGGCGCTCATACATGCCCAATTTACCATCCTGAGGCACAGAGAGGTTGGGTGACTTGCCCAAGGTCATACAGCCAGGATTCAAACCCAGAAGCCAGGCTTCAGGTCTATCCCAAGGTAGACTACCTCCACAGAGACTCCATTGTAGGCCGAGTCCCAGAGAGTTGGATAGGCAGTTGTGCTGTGTACAAGGGTGTCAGCCGCTTCCACTGTTTCATAGGGCCTCCCAATGTTTTTCCC